>NC_000018.10:77852439-78153795 GCF_000001405.40 Homo sapiens | reverse complement strand
AAATTTCTATTATTTCTAAATTACCCAGTCTAAGGTTTTACATTATAGAGTTATAAACAAACTAAGACAATGGCCAAATTCAAGGGGAAAAGCAGCTGGGAGGACGGGGGCACAAGCCTGACTATGAGACAGAAAAAGAAGCAACTGCGCGCACGCACGCGCTGTTCCTCACGCCGAGTCTCTGTGCTGCTTGGGGGCTTCTGCTCTCCCACTCACTTTAAGCATTTCCACGTCTGGAATCTTGGGGTGGCCCCCATCTCCCCCGGTGACGGTCCACAGGCCTGAGGGGCGGGTGTCGGAGAGGACTTGGTGTGGACCCCGTCTCCCCCAGTGGGGGCATTGCAACCTTAGTTCTGCGGGATGCCACGTCCTGTTGGGAAGGGAAAACATTTGTCCCACAGTGAGCAGGTCTATGCAAACCTACCCACAAAGTTCCAGAAAGCTGAGAGGCCTGTGAAGAGGCTGACAAATCCAGTTCCTCAGAAACATTTGGTGGGGCCAGCAAAGAGGCTGACAAATCCAGTTTCTCAGAAATATTTGGTGGGGCTAACGAGCAGAAGGCATGTCTCAGGCAGCCTCAAGATAGTGGATCCTTCTGCTGACACCCCCGAGACCCAGGGCACAAAGGGCACGCCTGCTTCAGAAGGATTTGTCCAAGGGCAGAATTTCTGATGAGCAGTAAAGTAGAAACCTTGGAGGCCTTCCCAGAACTGGAGTTAATCAGAGGTGCACATGGGGGCGAGCATCCAGGATGGAGCTGCCTCAGTCTGCGCTGACTTCCACCTGGGGATAAGGAAGGGTCCTGGTGGCCTGCCCCTGCTCCCTGCTGGCCCTCATGCTGGCAGCAGCTGTCCTGTGTACCGTGCACCTCACTGCCGCAGAGTAGAAACATCTTCAGGAGGGTCTGCTCCACCAGGAAAATCAAACGCGACGTCGCAGGGGGACAGCCTGCTGCTGCACGCTGGAACAGAGGGCTCTGTGTGTGAGTGTATGTGTGTGTGAGAGTGTGTGAGTGTGTCTGGGAGTCTGAGTGTGAGTGTATGTGTATGTGTATGTGAGATTGTGTGAGTGTGGGAATGTATGTGTGAGAGTATGTGTGTGAGTGAACATGAGTGTGAGAGTGTGTGTGAGCGTGTGTGACTGTGGAGTGTGAGTGTATGTGGGAGAGTGTGTGTGTGAGTGTGGATGTTTGCATGTGTGTATGTGTCTGCCTGTGTGTGGATTGTGAGTGCCTGTGTGTGTATTGTGTGTGAGTGTGCATGTGTATGAGTGTGTGGGACAGTGTGTGTGTGTGTGAGTGAGCATGAGTGTGTGTATCTGAGAGAGTGTGTATGTCAGTGGTGTATGTGGGTGAGCGTGAGTGTGTGTGAGAGAGTGTGTGTGAGAGCATGTGTGTGTGTGAGTGGTGTATGTGAGTCAGGGTGAGTATGAGTGTATGTGAGTGTGGGTGTGACGTACATGGAGATACATCCTCTCTGTACCACACGGGCACCTGTTGGTGCTTCCATTTCCCATGGCGAGGGTGGATGGCCATTGCTGCTACTGCCGCCTGACACGGGAAAGGCCGCCTGTGTTGGACCCCTCAGAGAAGGAAGGCCGGAGCCCCCGGGATGGAGCTCTGGGACAGCTCAGTGCTGCTGGAGGGTGAGGCGGTCTAGAGTGGATGAAGGAGGGAGGAGGACGGGTCCAGGGACTGGGGCTGGGAAGGCACGAGTTCCACGGGGCCCCCTGCAGAGACACCCAAAAGAGCAGAAGCTGGCAAGACCCAAGTGGGCAGGGGAGACCGGGTACTGGACACAGGGCAGGCTCGGTGCTGGCTGGGGTAAGAAGGACATCTGGAGGCCGAATCCCTTCTTTGGAAACCTCAGCTTTGTCCACATCGCGGAGGGAAATCTGCCTCATTCGAAATGCACTGATGTGAATTTAGACCTCATCTAAAGAATACCTTCCCCGACATCCACACTGGCATCAAACCAAACATCTGGGCACCAGGGCCAGGTTGATTCATAAAAGCCCTTCACCCACTTGCCCGGTCCTGTGCCGAGACCAGACTCCGGCCCACCAAGCTGGCTCTCCTCCGTCTGCGCTCCCACTGCCGTCTGTTCCCCACTTGAAATCAGCGGGGCTTGCTGAGAATTCATGGGTCACGTCCGCACCCTGTTTATAAGCCTCCCATGGCTCCCTTTCCAAGCCTAGCCCCACACCCACAGCCCTCAGATCTGCACATGGACTTTTTCAGGGGGGTCTCAGCACCCTGGGCCTTCCAGCCAGGCTCAACTGAAGTTGCAGGTGCCGCCCTCCATCCTCCGCCCTTTCAGGGCCCTTCCCTCCAGCAGCTCCCCTGCTTGTCTACCCACATCCAAGCCAGCCCTGACCCCAGGAGCGCATGCTTCTGAGTGTGCACGCATGCACACGTTCACGGAGACCTCTCTTGGCAAGCTCTGGCGTATCCTATTCTCCAGAGTTCAGAGCAGCCCCTGCTCCCTCCAGAAGATCTTGCTGGGCTCTACGCAGGTGTCATGTGCCCATCAGGCGGGCATCATGTTATATTTAACTTTTTACTTGCTTGCGTCTGTACAAGCTTGAAAAGGACCACTTGCTATTTTCCACTCTCATCCCAGCAAAAGCATAATGCCTGGCACAGGGTAGATACTCAATAAATTGTTCTGAGTAATGAATGGAGTAGAGCTGTCTCAAAACCTCCAGTCGGGATTCTAGTGTCTCCTTAGACAAGCGCATCTCACGGATGTTTTCCCCTAAATGCCTTATCACTGTAAACAGCAATCAATGATAATGCTGACGGAAAAAAATGGGGCAGCTTTCAAATTACTGGATTTGGGAAAAATATAATAGCCCTGGTCCTTTTTAGGTAAAATACGTGTGCTATTGTATCAGTTTCCTAGGACTGCTGTACCACAAACCGGGTGGCTTAAAACAATGGAATTTTTTCTTTCACAGTTCTGGCGGCCAGAAGTCCAAAATCAAGGTGTGGATGGTGCCACGCTCTCTCCAAAGGCTGACGGGGAAGATCCTTTCCTAGGAGTAGTTGATGGCAAATCTCCACATTTCTTGGCTTGTACACACATCACACACCATTTTTGCCTCTGTCTCATGTGGCCTCCCCCTCGTGCCTCCTCCATGTCTCCCTGCCCCAAAATCCCTCTCATTTTTCTTATAAGGACACAGGTCCGGTGGACCCTCATCTAAACTGGATCGCTGTATTAGTCCATTTTCACACTATTGTAAAGAATTTCCTGAGGGTGGGTCATTTATAAAGAAAAGAAGTTCAGTAGACTCACAGTTCTGCAAGGCTGGGGAGGCCTCAGGGAACTTACAATTATGGCAGAAGGGAAAGCAAATATGTCCTTCTTCACAAAGCAACAGGAGAGAAATAGCAGAGCAAAGGGGAAAAAGCCCCCTATAAAACCATCAGGTCTCATGAGAACTCACTCACCCATGATCCCATCACCCCCCAGGAGGTCTCTTCCCCAGTCACAACTAGGTTACAATTCGAGATGAGATTTGGGTGGGGACACAGAGCTAGACTGTATCAATCACATTTGCGAAGATCCTACAGGTGTATCTCGTTTTGTTGTGCTTTTCTGCACTTCACAGATACTGAGTTTTTTTTTTTTTTTTTATTGAAAGTTTGTGGCAACTTTGCATCAAGTAAGTCTCCTGGTGCCATTTTTCCAATGGCACCTGTTCACTTCATGTGTCTGTGTCACATTTCAGTAATTCTCCACATATTTCAAATGCATTCATTCGTGGTACATATGTTATGGTGATCTGCGATTGGTGATCTTTGATGTTACTATTGCAATTATTTGGGGGCACCACAAAGCATGCTCGTATAAGATGGAAAACTTAATCCATAAATCTTTTGTATGTTCTGACTGCTCCACCCACTGGACACTCCCCATCTCCCTCCCTCTCCTCAGTCCTCCTTATTTCCTAAGACACAACATTATTAAAAGTAGGCCAATTAATAACCCTACAATAACAACTAGTGTTCAAGTGAAGGGATGAGTCTCTAACTTTAAAACAAAAGCTAGAGATGAATAAGCTTGAGGAAGGAGGCATGTTGAACACCAAGACAGGCTAAAAGTGAGGCCTTTTGCATCAGTTAGCCAAGCTATGAATACAAAGGAAAAGTTCTTGGGGAAAAAAATCATAAGTACTCCTCCAGTGAACACACAAATAATAGAAAAATGAAGCATCCTTATTGCTGATATGGAGAAGATCTGAGTGATCTAGATGGAGTATCAAACCAACCACAACATTCCCTTAATGCAAAGCCTTTCCCAAGCAAGGTCCTCGTGTTCTTCCATTCCATGAAAGCTGAGAGATGAGGAAGCTGCAGAAGAAAAGCTTGAAGCTAGCAGAGGCTGGTTCATCAGGTTGAAGGAAAGAAGCCATCTCCACACCACAAAAGCACAAGGTGAAGCAGCAGGTGCTGATGGAGAAGTTGCAGCAAGTTCTCCAGGAGATCTAGCTAAGATCATTGATGAAGGTGGCTATGCTAAACAAAATACTTTCAATGGAGAAATAAAAAAGACCCTTCTATTTGAAGAAGATCCTATCTAGGGCTTTCACAGCTAGAAAGGAGAAGTCAATGTCTGGCTTCAAAGAGTCAAAGGACAGGCTGACTCTTATTAGAGGCTAATGCAGCTGATGACTTTCAATTGAAATCAATGCTCATTTATCATTTCAAAACTCCTAGGGCTCTTAGGAATGATGCTAAATCTACTCTGCCTGTGCTCTGTAAGTAGAACAACGAAGTCCATATGACAGCACATATGTTTATAGCATGGTTTACTGAAGATTTTAAGCCCACTGTTGAGACCTTCTGCTCAGAAAAAAAGTTTCCTTTCAATCTATTCCTGCTCATGGACAATGCACCTGGTCACCCGAGAGCTGTGACGGAGATACATGAAGAGATGAATGCTGTTTTCATGCCTGCTGACACAACATCCTTTCTGCAGCCTAGAGAACAAAAAGTAATTTTGACCTTTGTATGTTATTATTCAATAAATATATTTTGCAAGGGCTATAGCTGCCATATATAGTGATTTCTCTGATGGATCTGGGAAAATTACATTGAAAACCTTCCAGAAAGTATTCATTATTCTAGATAACATTAAGGACATTCCTGATTCATGGGAGGAGGTCAAAATATCAACATTAACAGGAGTTTGGAAGAAGCTGATTCCAGCCTTCATGGATGATGTTGAGGGTCTCAAGACTTCAGTGGAGGAAGTAACTGCAGATGTGGTGGAAATAGCAAGAGATCTGGAGTTAGAAGTGGAGCCCGAAGATGGGACTGATTCGCTACCATCTCATGAGAAGATTTACAGATGAGGAGCTGCTTCTTACGGATGAGCAAAGAAAGTAGTTTCTGGAGATGAAGTCCCCTCCTGTTGAAGATGCTATAAACATCATTGAAATGACAACAAAGGCTTTATAATATTCCATAAATTTAGTGGATAGAGCAGTGGCAGAGTTTGAGAGCATTAACTCCAATTTTGAAAGAAGTTCTACTGTGGGTAAAATGCTAACAAACAGCATCTCATGCTACAGAGAAATCTCCGTGAAAGAAATTGATGTGGCAAACTTCATTGTCTTACTTAAGGAATTGCCACAGCCACGCCAAACTTCAGCAACCACCACCCTGATCCTTCAGCATCAACATCGAGGCAAGACCCTTCAACAGGAAGAAGATGACGACTCACTGAAGGCTCAGAGGATTGGTAGCAAGTTTTAGCAATAAAATATTTTTAAATTAAGGTATGTTAATGTTTAAGGATGTAATACTACTGCAAATGTACTAGATGACAGTATTATGTAACATGATTTTTACAGGCACTTGGAAACCAACAAAATTAGTGTGACTTGGTTTATGATAGTGTTCTGAAACTAAACCCACAGCATCACCGAAGGATGCCTGTATTTCCAAGTAAGGTAACTGGGGTTTGGATTTCAACATATTTTTGAGAGGGGACACAATTAAACCCACAACAAACATTAATACCAAAAAAAGCATTTTTTAATCCCAATGATTACTGTTATTTTCATTTTTTGAAGAGGCTACAGCAGGTCAGGTGTCAACGTTACTGTGAAGCCCTCTGTTACAATACCTTTATTTTCTTTGTCCTTGAAGCCACAAACAGATGTTGAAACTACTGTCTGAAAGATTCTGGAACTACCCTTGGAGAAAGGGCCGAGGACCTTCAGAGCCAAGGTTGCAGACTCAAGGGTGAGCTCTGCTCTCGGCCCCGCGGCGTCCTTAAGGGGTTGCCTTCCGCCACTGCTGCCGTGCCTGGGAGCCACCCCCACCTGCCCCCCTTCTGTACTAAACTGCATCCTGTATCATTTTATCAATATTTGTGGTTCCATATTTCTAGCTGTTAAAAAGGTTAACATCTTTTAGCAGCCGTTTTAGCTCATGCTGCAGCTAGATAATATACTTCATGGCAGCAAAGCACCAAACACATTTCCTGCAACATTAGCTGCACTTATAAGTATAATTGTATGCAGCCTTTTCTTGCTCAACAACATTTTAGAATAATGGAGGAACACATCTATTTACAATGGAGGAAATAACACACAGTATTTAACACTCCTTATGACGCTTATAATTACTCTAGGTGCAAACCCAACAGGCCAGGCCAGGGCCTGGGAACGCTCTCCAGAAACAGAAAAGCATTGCAAGCTGGGACACCATAACCAAGTTGCAGATTTTCAAAAGCGGAGGTTTGTCTAATAAGTGGATGCAGAGCACAGAAATGTTTTTAAACATAATTACTATATGCAGAATGAAAGGCTTCGTACTTCTCACTGGCACCTAATGAGCACAGCCATCAACAGCCTCCGTATTTGCTGCTCTGTGCAGTGGAGCAGGACTGACTGCTGGGCCTGGTGTTTTGTGTCTGAGCTCTCAGTCTATCTCCAATGAAAATACATAATTCCAGGCCACTCTTCCAATACATCACAGTCATTTTCAGCACTTTAGTTGTTTTTCTCTTACAAGATAAAGCATCATTACAGCAGGTTTAAAGAGCACGTTAGTGCCTGCAATCTACCAATGCTTTTCTTTAATATTTCATCATTAAATAGCAAAATAACATGATATGATCCTAATTTAGTGCCAATTACACTGCATTGATCAAAGTGACCTTTTCATACTGGAGCACAAAAATCAATCCTGCTGTACAACAAATGTCAGGGGAGGAGAGCAACATATAATCTGTGACAATCAAAACGTTACTTACAAATGAAATCACCAATGACCCGCACGCCAAGGCAATTTCTGCATGATGGGCGCTGTTTGTGTTTGCGGCTCTAGTTGGGGAATGTTTTGTTGCTGTTCCCGACCATCTGCCCTGATACAGTGGTGATATTTTTTCTGTGCTGGCGATGGTGGGTGCAGTGGTCAGGTCCTGGCAGCTGGTGCGCAGGAGAACCACAGAAAGCCTTCGAGGTTCCTGACTTGATGGGAAACACAAAGGAAGGGCCCCCCTTGCAGATCTGGGCAATGCCAGCGTAGTTCACAGTGTGCGGCATCAACTGATCCTCCAGTGCTAAGCGTTTCCAGGGGAGGGGTGTTTGGGGTTTGGGGTAGCAGAGCCACGTAATAGTTTTCACTGGGAAACCTGCTGATCCCCCAAGAATTCATTCAGACACAGACATTGAGTTTGGTCTAAAAACTCCATCCTGCCACCGAAGATTCCAGTGGACATAACTTGATGGTGTATATTTCCCAGGTATACGCCTGGCTGCACATGGCTCCAGGCTTTCTGCAGGTGCACGATGACACTGTGGAGGGTCTTACCTGCGGTGGGGTGCGGAGAGGCAGCATAGAAACAGTGGGCAGCTGGAAGAGGCCTTGTGTCCACACGCTGGCTCCACCCCTGACTGCTCCTGTGACACTGGGTGAGCCCCTTCACTCCCCTGGTTCTTATTTCTGCAAGAGTCAAATGCAGAAAGGTTTCTCATCTTCCTCATAAGGACTGCCCTAGGAGTTAAAGGACTTAACTACCTTTAGAGTGTTTCAAAGAATGCTGGGCATATTACAGGGCCATAGTAGGTGTTAGCTATTACTACAGCAAATGGAAGTCTGGATGGGCAAGGATTAATTCCATCTTTACGTTAGGAAATAATTTTCAAACATATATTTAGCTGAAAGAAAATCACCTTGATTCAACTATATGAGACATGAAATGTTGAGCTAGGTTTGGTGTACAAACTCACATGAAATCATTAACTGCTAAAGTTATGGTCTTCAAATGTTGTATGGATATGCCATAAATCTATTTTCAACAAAAGAGATATGGCTCTTCCTCAATTGTCCAGAAATCACAAACATGGCCAACACGCCCAGTGGATCCAGTGCCATCCTGCGCGCCTGAACTGACAGACGGCTTTCCTGACATCTGAACTGGATGTGTAAATACAACGTAAGGCAAGATAAGAAGTGGAAATCCCCCTTCCTTTGGACAGCCCTGGGCTTGTTCTTCGCTTAAGGATCCTAGAGAGTGGGTGCGGCTGCAGGAAGTGGAGACAAGTAGGCTGGGAGTGTAATTGTCCTGAAAAAGGGATTGAAATAGATATCAGAATTTACAACCATCAAACAAATATCCCGTGTTCCAACACAGGGGTGCGATGACCACACTCAGCAAACCCAACCACTGCAATACAGAGATGCCGGGAGCTTGTCTGTTTCTCTACTGGAAGATGACAGGAGCCGAGGAATCCAGGTTCTATGCTGGGTAAAGCACTCTCGTCAGCGCTACCTAACCCTGCTAAATCAGAAGTCTGCTCCTCCTGGGGTCTTTTAAAGCTGGGACCTGGCAGGTAGACTCTCCCCTCCCCACCAGCGACGCTGCTGCTACCTGCGCACAGAGGGCCAGAACCGGCTCCTGGCTGGAGAATGAGAACATCCTGCCGGTCCCGGCTGAGTGCTCTCCTGCTCTCCACCAGCCAGAGTAAGAACAAAAACATTTTCAAGTGCTGGTTATGAACCTGATCCAGTTTGTTTCACACGGATGCAGAATGAGTTTCCAGCTTAATGTAAAAGAGCTGTGTGGGCAGATTGTTGAGGTGCCTTCCTTATTTTTTTTAACGTTTTCCAATGCAATTTGCAGCTTAACAGCCACACTATAAATGACATGATTAAGTTTTATATATTTCTGTATATTTGATGTATTTACCCCAATGCAGCTGTCGTTGCTTATACTGTTTCAGATGTTTAGAATGGAGTCAATTGTTGGGAGTAATCACACTTTCCAAGAGGAAGCTTTCTTTTTCCAATTTTTTTAAAGTGCTCTCATATAACCGTGAAATAGCCGCCACCTCCAAAAAGAGATTGAGAATTAATACATGACCTTCAACAAAACCAGTTTTCACTCTCATAGAAAATATAAGTGTCTCAAAAGGTAATCACCATCAGGAAATTAGTGTTTTCATAATCTGCTACTTTCTAGCATTCCATTAAATTCAGCATCCAAGGGTCAGGCATGGTGGCACTTTGGGAGGCTAAGGCAGGAGGATCTCTTGAGCCCAGGAGTTTGAGATCAGCCTGGGGAACATAGAGAGACCCCATCTCTACCAAAAATTTATTTATTTATTTATTTATTTATTTATTCACTCATTCAGCATCCATGCCTCTAGGGCTCCCAATGCCATTCTCATTTTCACGACGGCCCAGCATTTTGGCCACTTGGGGAGGAAGGCCTCTTACAAACCACCACAGGGCTTTCTCTGGGTGTCTGAGAAGTTTAGTGGCATATTTTACTCTGTATTCTGCCCTAATTTAAAATAACTATATTAACTAGAAAAGATAATTCCAATTAAAAATAATATTTGTATACACAAAAACATGTAGTCTACTTAATGCTTCTTATCTATCCTTATAATCTTGTAAGAAAATGCAGATGGTTAGTAAAGTATTAATTGTGGAAATGACTGGTCTGTGCAAGACTACCTGTTTAGACAGAGTCTGATCTGGTCAAATGAATGTCTGAGTTCTTTACTTTCACCCGGAGGTTTTCAGTGCATGCAACTTACATTATTGATGTTTATAAGATTGGTTGGTATTTAATGTGGCCAATATTATATTTTAGTGTATTCCCAGATACTTCAGTGTGAGTGGCCATGCTTACAGTTTCAAAGAGTGGGCTAAGAGTAGACATAATAAATCATTTGGTTAAAAAGAAGCACAGGATAAAAACACCGCACATATATAAAGAACGTTCTTGTATTTTTTTTAAAAAAGCAATAATGCAGAGGTAATTTTAGAAGAAATGAGGTTGGATTAAGGGGAAAAGAAAGCAATCAAGAAACAAGTAATAACTGATATTAAAATCTGATTGAAATTTTTTGCAGGCCTGAAAGATTCATTATATTTCCATTTTTAAAATTCCAAATTTCTCTATACAGAGTTAAAAAGTATCTTAATGTATACTCTCTTGAAACAAAATATCACCTCACATACTTAGTTGTTATTTTTCCCTTAATCGAGCCTTTAGATATTCTCTATATTTTTTAAGCATGTCAGATTGATTAACTGTACTAATTATCCAGTAAGAAGCTTGTGTCCTTTTTATATTATATTATCATCCCATCACATGCTTTAATAAGTTACTTTGAAATCCATATATATATATATAAATTTGATAGTTTTTAGCAGTACTGAATTTCCTCTAAAGTTAGTTAAGTGTTAATTTTTGATTTTCTTTAAATGAATTTATTTTGTAACCACGTAAATACTGTCTAGGAAATACTTTTCTTCGTTATATTCATCCTATGTTTGATGTTCTCTCGCAGGCAACCACACAACATTCCTAAATTTAATTGCCATACTCTGTATCAAACTGATCATTGTACAAGTAATAAATCACGCCCTATTAAAGCAACCAAATTTTCTGGACCTTAAGATCAGAAAATTATTAGCCTAATTCTTTACAAATTGCACAGAAGATAATATCTGATAATCCATTAAGCAAAACTTAATCAATGTCTTCCATCATAATGCAAAATGCACTGATAAGAATTCAAGCCCCATTGATTAAAGGTATCATGTAAAAGCCTCTATACATTTCAGGTTACTTGAAGTGAATATCTTGCTAATGTAACAAGCCAATAAATTAGATTATCCATATACCATTTTAAAATAGATTAATATTATAATAAAACAAAATATAGTATAAAACCTAACCTAAGAAAATATAATTAATATTAGGTTAACAATAATATTTCAGTAGGAAGAATGATTAGACATACTCTCCTGGTTCTAGAAAAGTGTTCGGCTTTAAGTTACAGCAGGCAGTCCAAACTCTTTGTAGCATTTATTTAGGCTACCTGTGAAGTGAAATTACAATAGGAATATACATATTTGCATTATCTCGGAGCCTCTGTCTGGCCTTAAATACACTAAATAATGTGGCATGAAATTAAATGATTTTGACAATACCTTTTAAGACCTTGTCTTGAATTTTTTAATGACATATTACAACATGCAATTTTATTTCAAATTCAGCGAGCTTTTTTCCTCTAGATTACTTGATTTTTAAGCGCAAAATGTTGTCTCTTTACATCTGTGATACGTATTCCTCACAATATTATCCAAAGCAATTTGTCTGACCTAGCTTTAGCTTCTTTCTTCCGAACTCTAAATACATATGCTGATATATGTGTGTAACTTTTCATATACATATGTATTTTTATAAAATTGTGCAATTTATATATAGCATAGTGATTTCCAAACTATTTACATTACACTTACTCTGAGGGTTTCAGAAATTGGTTTAAGAAAGAAACATTCATTTACACATACCCAAATTATGCAAAAACAATGTGTATGGGCGGGCGTGTTTATTACAGATGTGTACGTAATTGCTGTATTAAGTGGAGTTGGGTTTGCTAGCCTACTTCCTTCCCCTCCATTAAAAGTTACATTTCCTTTATTTACAAAAATACAAATACCTTTCCGATTATCAGAAATCATTGATTACAATTTTACAGATGCAATTTTCCTTTGAATAATAAAGTACTGGAATATTAAAATAATATTCTGATTAACATAAATAGTAATTAGGGTTTTTATATAGTGGGACACTAAAATTAGGCAAATTAGTATCTGTCAAGAGAAACTTTTTCAGACTTGTGGTAAATGCGATGCCAGTGAATGGTGTGAAATGAAGCGATTTGCCCCCTTAAGAAGAACCAGTGGAGTTTAAATAGTCCTCTTTTGCTGTGGTAAAAAGGTCTTCTAATCTGAACAGACAAAGCGATTTTAGTAGTTCTATTTGTTTAAGAAAATAGGTCTAAATTGATGAAACTAATCATTTTACACTAAGTGCTCTTTTTAAAGACAATTGCTGATTGCATGCCCCTTTTGTAGCTGTAGCTGAGCCCGAGATGGTGCAAAATCACCATCTCGCCAGTTGTCACAACTATTTGCTCATTCTTTAATTAAACATAATATAGGAAACAGTATAATTCACGTCTAATTAGAAATCAACTTCTTTAGGCTGTGAACTCTTTCCAAAACTGTCAGGGATCATCGTTTAATGATTGTCATATCTACCAAGGTTGGGTATTTTTGCCTGCTTTAATTTCATACCTAAAATTACTGTAGGTATAAGTTGATTTTTTTAAAAAAAGAAATTCTTTTGAGCTGTACAGCACTCCTTTACCAGCGGTAATGACGATGATGTTAGTGGCGGGAACGGCTTCATCCCGGCTGATGTCATTAGAGTGACTCCGAGCAGGAGTGTGCATCTCCTTTGTACCAGAATTAAAATGGGTTTTTCCACTTAACGGAACAGAGAATGAATAGGCAAATACACTGAAATCACAACAACCTGGCACTTTTAAACTTCATCAAATCATCAAGAAGCCTTCTAAGTGATTTGCAAGTACATTTATTACATATTTGTCAAGTCATTTTATATAGCTGTTCTTTTATAGTGGAAACATTCGAAAAAAAATGTTTTGGAGCGATGTGTCTCTTATTTATTCCACAGTCTTGGGAGGAAGGCTATTGTCCCCTCACCTTCGAGATGAAGAAAATGGAAACAAAAATAAGGTAGATTTTCTGGTTCCAAATGAGTAGCAGAAGGAAGTCAGCGATTCATGTGTTCAGCAAGCATGCATGGAGTGCCAGTAAACACAGGGAGTACCAGGTCTTGGGGATGGAAATCCAAGGGTCATACTCTCAAGGAGCTTCCGGTTTCAGCGGCAAAAGGGACAAATGAAACACTGGCCAGGCCGCCCCTTGCCAAGCACCACAGGAGCCACATGCCACCAGGGTACCATGCCCAGACTCTTTACCCACGGAGCATGGGGGCTGCGCCTCCACGGAAGGCTTTTTGAAGGATGCTAACCATAATCTGAGATTTGTAGGACAGGCAGGATTTAGAGAAAGCCTTTGCAGGGAGGTGAATGGGGAAGGGAACAGAGAGGAGAGACGTGTCTCCACAGCCCTGCTCGGGGAGTGAGCCGTGTGGGTAATTACCCTTTAATGCTGGTTTGTGTCCCTGTTATTGTGTCACTACTGGATATCTGGCAAAGGCGGGGAAGAATGCATTAAGCCGGAGAAAAACACAGATTATGAAACAGGCCTAGAAAACAAATGAAGTTAGGGACATTTGTGTGGGGGTTGGTTTGGCCAGCAAAAGGCAGCCAGGTCTCGATTTAGGGGTTTCTTCTCACCCCGACCCTATCCCCTGGCAGCAAGACTCATGGAGTCTGAGGAATCTTGATGCCAGTTGCTGCTGGGGCGTCTTTCGGCTGCGGCCCTGCCGTGTGCAGCTCCTGCTTGTTGTATCTTCTTCTCAGTTATCCTTTCCCTACACGCCCCGTTGTCTCCATTTGTGATGCTAGTGATGACACAGCTAAGATCCTTTCACTTTCTAAGCATTGGACTCAAAAGCAGAGGAGCCGCATAAATGCAATCACTTAATTAATTATGCCACCGACTTGCACTTCCACCCTCACCTAAATGTTTCCGCAGTTCAAACCCGAGTCTTTTGGGGAGTACCAGGACAAAGCGGGCAGTGGCCGCATGGTCATAGCATCGCATTAGCAGGGGAGGCTTATGGAGAACAGGCCAGCACCAAGACCTGTCCCTGCAACTGATGGATAGGGAAGGCGCCCACTGAGGGCACGAGGGGAGAGGCGTGGGCTCCCAGGGCTGGGGACTTCCTGCAGGAGAGAGGCGGGTGTGGTGCATGGACCCTTCAGCATCAAGAGCCAACGCCAGAGCAGAAAAGCAGGAGGGAGGGTGGCCGCCCACGCTCTTCATCTAAACAGATCCCTCTAGAGTGTTCAGGGGACTTTCTGTCTATTTCTTGGAGCAAAGAAATAGCCGCCTGATGACAGATAGGCGAGCTTGTTTGCAGTTGGTGAGATGGGCCCTGCTTATGTCTGGAGAGCCACTTAGCGGTCTATTCAAAACCAACCCAAGCGTCAACAAGTTCTGGAAGAGAGCAATTAGTAATGCAAATGTCGAGTTATCTCTGGCTTGGGTTACAGAAATCGGCAAGCAAGGGGATGTTTGTGTGGTTCCGTGCTGCTAAGGTACTTTAGGAGGTATCCCAACTCGGAGAGCTTTGTTTTGATGACTTGGAGAAAGATAGTGGAACTAATTCTCACTTGAATGGGTGATTGTTTATTTCTGCTTAGCGTGAATGGAGTTAATTGTTTCCAATGGCCTTTCATGGTGGCGCTGTGTGTGGGGCCATCTGCTGCAGATGGCCCCAGCTCTCCACTTGCGGCTTTTAGTACATGCTGGGTGCACACTTGGGCCCCTCTTCTGATGTGACCATCGACGAGGAAATACCCCATTCATAGGTGAGTGGAAGTTGATGGCTTTCTTTTTCAAATTAGGAAACAGTAAAGTCCCCACCATCAGCCATATGTTTCCACGAAGTAAAACAACAACAAAAAGCTTTTCTGGAGAAAAGCTAAAGTAATTATGAAAGGAACTAGAAGGATTCATTCACTGTTAGGAATGGAATCAGTAGGTTGGGAATTTGGAGAAGGCAATATATAATTATGAATTGCTAAGAGGGAGAAATCACAGTTGAAGGTAAAGTTTGTAAAATATTTTTGCAGCACTTTTAAAAATAATAATTTCACTGTGGCAGCACTTCTTTCTTTAGGGAATAAATACAAACAATTTTAAAGTCTGACATCACTGGAAATGTGTGTGTGCTGCTGGGGACTTCTTGTAGCTTTTGTCTCTTGAAATAATGATCTAATTAACCTGTGCTAGGTTCAGATGTCTTTTGAGAAGAGGGGCAGCCTGGTGTGAAAGCTGTAGACATATTAAGTTCCCAAAGTGCTGGAAACAACCTTGCAGCTTTGCAGATCAGGCCTAGCAGCGGTGCTCCAGCAGGAGGGAAAAGGAGGCCACAGAGGAAGGGGGTTGTGTTTCCCACACAACAGGATGGAACCAGAAGACTTTAGATTTGATTCACGCTGCAGGAATCAGGGGCCAAGGGTGAGAACAGCCAGGTCTGTTTGGGGAGAGACCAGGACACAGGTTAAGAGCTCAGTCCTTTCACAGGGGTCACCCTGCTGAACATGAGGGCTGTTGCTGAAGTCCTGCAAGTCTGAGGTGCTGAGAGAGGGGACAGCCTGCAATGCACCCCCAGGGCATTGGAGGACATGTGTCCAGCAAACTGGGGGCCCTGGACACACCATCATGGTCAACAATGTACCCCCAGTGCATCAGAGGACATATGTCCAGCAAGCTGGGGGCCCTGGACATACCATCATGGTTGGCACTTGTCGGGCAGAGCTCTTACATCTTCACATCTGAACCAGCATATCCCCCACTCTCTACAGTGAGTGGAACTTGTTCAGACTGACTGTCTAGGTTCTTTACTGCCCTTTTGCAGAGGGACCTACCGGGATGCTGACGTGCCCATGTGCTCGAGGCCACCGGTGGTCACTGCTAGAGCCAGAATTTGAACCCATGCTCTCTGTGATGACAGCCCATGTTCCTAACCATTGCACTGTTCCCTGGCAACTTTTCTGCCCACACCTCTTTCTTTTCTCCACTCAGAGAAGGTCACGATGCTTTGATGCTGCTGAGAAGGCATCTCTTTACCAGCCAAATGCCGGCCATAGCTAGGTTCTCCTTCCTTCCTCCTAAACACATCTGGTGTCCTCCCCCGACACACCCTCATCCACACAGGCCCCGTCCAGGCTACTTGGGACCTTCCCAGGCTCCCAGCTTTACTCTCCTGTCTGTGCTCTGTTGCTGCTCAACTTGTCATTCCCGTGCCTGAGGCTTTCAGGGGCTCCCAGGGCTGAAAGCAGAAGTTCTCAGTGTGTTTTGTTTTACACTTCACTGCTGAAACAATTTTATTACATCAGTGTCTTAGTCCACTCTGGTGGCCAAAACAAAATATTATATGGCCTAGGTGGCTTATAAAAAACAGAAATTTACCTCTCAGAGTTCTGGAGGCTGGGAGTTCGAGTCCAGAGTACAGCTGGGCTGGGTTCTGGTGAGGGCTCCCTTCCCGATTCACAGACGGCTGGCTTCTCAATGTGCCTTCTCATGGCAGGTGCCCAAAAAGAGAGGAGAGAGCAGTGGCGTCTCTTCCTCTTTTCATAAGATCTCATCACGGGGGCCTCACATGCATGGCTTCATCTAACCTATGCCCTTCCCAGGAGTCACACCTCCTCTTAAAGTCACATTGGAAAGTTGGGTTTCAATATATGAATTTGGGTGGGAGGAATTCAATCTATAGCAACGTGCATGATTGAGAATATGTGAGCATTTCTCACTCTTCAGACCTACGCTTTTCTATCTGTCCAGCGTTCTCCAGAGAAACAGAACTATAGAGAAGAGAGAGAGAGAGAGAGGGATGAGATTTATTATGAGGAACTGGCTCATGTGATCACGGAGTACAAGAAGTCCCATGACCTGCCATGTGCAAGGGCTGTAAGGCCCTGTCCAACCCCAAAGGCCTGAGAACCAAGGGAACCAATGGTGTAGTTCAGGCCAAGGTCAAAGGCTTAGAACCAGGAACTCCAGCAGCAGAAGATGGATATCCCAGTTCACAGAAAGCGTGAATTCACCTTCCACTGCCTTCTTGCTCTATTTAGGCCTCAACAGACTGAAGAGGTCCCCCATATGGGTGAGAGCTGATGTCTCATTTATTCAGTCTACTGAGTAAAATGAGAATCTCATCTGGAAGCACCCAAAAGGAACACCCAGAAATAATGTTTTACCAGCTTCCTGGGCACCCCTTAGTCTAATCAAGCAGACACATAAAACCAACCATCACACTCAGAATGCTCTCCTCATTTTGCAAATTATCTTTTGTTCTAATACATGTGTTTTCTTTCTTCTGAAACCTCCACAACTTTACCAGTGAGATGTACTTTCCTTTGTAAAAACACCTGCTGTGGCATTCATAATAGTGCATTTGTGTGTCTGTTTACCTTCTCTCTCTTTCCACCAGAGTGCAAGCCCCTTGTGGGTACAGACTGTTTTTTCATTCATGTATCAGTCCCTTAAAAGAGAGACTAAGGCTGATGAAAGCCCAGTGAGTGTTTGCTGAATGGAGGAGGAAATCTATGAAATTCAGAGGGTCTTAGATAACTTTTTAGGGTAGCATGAAGGAGACAGATTGCTTTGTAATAATCATGGTGAGGTGACAAATTCTGAGTGCTACGGCATTTGAGGTACTGTGCCTGTCACTGTGAAAAAGCAAGGCTGAGCAGAGCTAAGTTACTATCCAAAATTATACAGGTATTAAGTGACAGTGTAGTCAAATTCAGGTTTGACTGACATGCCATCCTGGGATTCCTGTGTGGAGGTGATAAACTGTCTTTAACGCAGGGACAGCTCCTGCGTGTTGGGTAGTAAAGAACTTAACTTTGCCCCCAAAAGGTGTAGGGTTGGCTCCTGCAGGATGATCTTTGTCTGCCTGGGGGTCTTGGGCTGGCCGGATGGCAAAAGGTGATTCAGATGGGGACATTGGGTTGCACAGGATCCACTGACATGGGGACCGAGCTAAACCACACGGACCAAACGGTGGACTTACCTCGCCCATGTAGTGGAGGCCCCGTAGAGACTCTGAACACCGAGCTCGGGGAGCTCCCATGTTGGACAATCTCCATGCTCATTGTCATTCCTGCTGTTGAGAGAGGACAGAGTCTCATCTCCTGACTCCGTGTGATCAGGACACTGAAAAGCCCTGTGTGCGTCCCCACCGCCACCTATGCATGGCTTCCCCAGACAACCCAGGTCCTGTTCCTGTAACAAACCAAAGCCACGAGGACACCAGCTCAGTGAGTTCTGGGAGTCCTCCCAGCACATTTATTGAAACTGGGGGCAGCTTTGGGAACCCCTGAACTTATCATTGAAGTCAGGGTAGTATCAGGGACTGTGCCCTAAAACTATACAGGTGCCTCTAAACTCTTCACAGATGTGGAAGCAAAGAGACACAAAAATAAGAAAGATAAGTTAAAGAAGGAAACCAAACAGGAGATAAACACAGAAAGTTGTGGGGATTTTACACTCAAACCTGAGTGAACACAGAGACTGCCTGGAAATAACATAACTGTGCATAAGAGGCCAGTGGAAGGACACACCTCGATCTTCATCCCATTTCCCCAGGGGAAGGCCACACACCTAGATCTCTATCCCATTTCCCTGGGGGAAGGACACACACCTGGATCTCCTTCCCATTTCCCCAGGAAGGACACACACCTCGATCTTCATCCCATTTCCCCAGGATGGACACACACCTCGATCTTCATCCCATTTCCCCAGGAAGGACGCACACCTCGATCTTCATCCCATTTCCCCAGGAAGGACGCATACCTCGATCTTCATCCCATTTCCCCAGGATGAACACACACCTCGATCTTCATCCCATTTCCCTGGGGGAAGGACACACACCTCGATCTTCATCCCATTTCCCCGGGATGGACACACACCTCGATCTTCATCCCATTTCCCCAGGAAGGACACACAGCTCGATCTCCATCCCATTTCCCCGGGATGGACGCACACCTTGATCTCCATCTCATTTCCCCAGGAAGGACGCACAGCTCGATCTCCATCCCATTTCCCCAGGAAGGACACACACCTCGATCTTCATCCCATTTCCCCAGGATGGACAGACACCTCGATCTCCATCCCATTTCCCCAGGAAGGACACAGAGCTCAATCTCCATCCCATTTCCCCAGGAAGGACGCACAGTTCGATCTCCATCCCATTTCCCCAGGAAGGACACACACCTCGATCTTCATCCCATTTCCCCAGGAAGGACACACACCTCGATCTTCATCCCATTTCCCCAGGATGGACACATACCTCGATCTTTATCCCATTTCCCCAGGAAGGACACGCACCTCGATCTTCACCCATTTCCCCTGGAAGGACACATACCTCGATCTCCATCCCATTTCCCCAGGAAGGACACACAGCTTGATCTCCATCCCATTTCCCCGGGAAGGACACACACCTGGATCTTCATCCCATTTCCTGTCTAGTTCACTGCTGAGCACTCAATAAATATTTGACTTGAACATATATTTATTTTACAAAAGACAAATATAACAGTTGAATCACAAATTCAATTGCTTTTAAAGTTCCAATTTGTAGAGCTGCTTTTCATGTTAAATTGGCAATGACTAAACTAGCTGCTTTGCACTTACTGTTTGAATGCTGATCCCTGTGTCGTGTGTTGTTGCCATGTGCTGTCATGCTGTCATGTGCTGTCACGCCACAGGCTATGCATCGTCATGCGATGCCATGTGCTATCTACTTTCATGTACTATCACATCATGCATTGTGATGTTTTGTCAGGGGCTGTCATGCCACATGCTGTGTGTCGTCACTTGATGTCCTGTGCTATGTACTGTCATGTGCTATCGTGTCATGCATTGCCATGTGCTGTCATGTGTTGTCGTGTCAGATATGGTCACACTCTGTCATGGAATGCCTCTTTTTAACACTATGTGGTGCCCAGGCAGAATGTGGGTTTGATTTGGAATCTACTGAGGCACCAAGAAGTAGACACTGGTTTTGCAAGGAGTGTGTTAACTGGTACTATGTCTGGTTTTGATCTGGATGGTGACCCCTACCTTGCAAAAGCAAACTAAAGGGAAAGCTCACACAAGTATGTGGTTCCTCTAGAGCCACTCATGTTAGCATTCCTCCCCACGCTACCACAAAACTTGGTCTGCAAAAGCCATCTACTAAGGCCAAAGATGGCAGAGTGATTCTTGTCATTTGTTTTGGCTTTGGCTTCTGGGATGGGCCACTTATGTCTAAAAAGGATCAATTATTTACTATTACTTCTTAAATATGTATTAAATGAAATTGTATATATTTCTAAAAACCTTAACCTAGAAGTTCAGATTTTCCTTTTGCCTCCCTTTCTTTCTCCTTCCTTTATCATCTCTTCCTTTCTTATCATCAAAATTAACCTCCATTAAAATTAAAAATACAATAAAAATCTTTTATTTGTATTAACTATTAAAGTATTAATAGTAATTTTACTTCTTTTGTGGCACTTCTTTAAGGATAGATCCTAAAATGGTCTGGACATAAAAAGTAAACCTAGACAGATAATTTATAGATAAGCTACATATTTCATTTTATTAAAATCCAAAAAGAAAATCAAAGGTAAGGAGAAAACAAGATCACTTGTGTCATAATTCTGCTGTTGCCAACCAGGTAGCCTCATGTGGGACCAGCTCACTTGAGCTGCAACAAAAGAGTCACCTAAAAAGGCAATCAGAAGCCATGTCATTGCTGGCTTAGGGACCCCAAATACTGACTCTTACTTTCAAAGAATCTTTCTTAATGAGATCACTACAGCATAAGCTGGAAAATTGTGTGTGCACACACGTGTGTGTATGTGTGTGTGCATGCGTGTGTGTGAGTGCACAGCTGTTACATGTGTTGTATGTGTGTGTCTCTGTGTGCACATGTATGAGTGTGTACATGTGTGTTGCTTGTGTGTTGTGCGTGTATGTGTAAAGAAAATAGAAAGACTCATCAGAATTTTTATAATCTCTTCTTTCGAAACCAATCATTTTCAAATCATATCTCCAGAGTCTCTCAAGAAGAAAATTATTTTAGGTCAATTAGCTTCTTTTTACTTTAATATTGAACACACACACACACACACACACACACACACACACACAAACATAGCTTAATAAGAATAGACCCAATTCTGCAGGCACTTAAAACATCAGTTTGAGTATTTAAGATGAAATCCAAAAGGAATGCAACAGTTTGCCTAGGCAGAGGTCAATCTTTGAAGGAAGTCATTTCTTAAATCTGAATATTTAATAAACAAGGCAAATGATTAAAATGTTTTAGATGTCAATTTCTGCTGGGGGGAAAAGTACCTTATATAACCTATAGAATACTTTCTGGAACACTGCTTGAGAAGAAGAAGGTAGCATTTCTGGAGCACACAAGATTCTACATACACGTGAGATACATTCTTAAGTATTTTTACTGATGTGGAAAATCAGACTCAACGAGGTTTAATAATTTGCTCAACATCGAGTGAGGGGTGAGGTTCAGATTCAAAGGGGTCCTTTCATCTGAAAAGCCTCTTCCTTTCTGTTCTATGTACCACCTAGTTAATTTCAACATTTTTGTCGTGTGTGTGAAGGTTTTCGTGCATACTGATAGCTGTAATTTGCTCTGAATATTCTAGATGTCTGACACTGGGCTAAGTGTTTGTCATAAACTTTCTTTTACCTTCATCGAAACCTTCAGGTAAAGACAACAGTATTAATCCACTTTGTTACATAAACAAAACAAAAATGCGATCTCGCCTGAGCTCAAGTTCAGCATCAATTAAGAGGAAGAGGAAGGGCTCCACCCCATCAGTTGGATGCGGGAGCCCCGACTGTGTGTGCCCGGAACTCTCTGCCCTCTGGACTCCACCGGGAGACGTTCTGGGGTCTGAGAAAGTGAAGGAGGCAAAGCTAAGTGTTCGCATGCACCTCTGCTTTCTTGAGGGTTCAAAGCTCCAGAGAGCTCGGTGCCTGCCACAGGCCAGGGCCGATGTCCTCTGGTCATCACGCCGTGGTCAGGACAAGCACTCTCTGCCCGTGGTTATCTGGAGGGAAGGCCAGCCTCAAGAGACGCCCGCCTTGCGAGACCTTCACCCCTGACCCTCCCTTAAACCCGGCTCCCTTGCTGGACCTCAGACTCCGCTCTGGAGACATGCTTTATTGCTTTATTTGTTTCTAATTTAGACCAAAGACCCTGCCTGGCCTTCTGTGATGGTTTTGTCCAGTTGGGCATTTTTGTTCTCACCGTGGCTGCTTACTTTTACTGCTTTATCTTTGCCTTTTTATTGAGTGATTTTTTTTTTGTTTATTTTACCTTGTTTGTTTGTTTCTCTTGTACCTATAACTTTTTCATAGGGAAGAAGAAGTGACAGGTGAAGATGAGAAGGTGGCCTCCGGCATCCAAGGGAGGCTCAGCATCACGTCCTCTGTATGGTTAGGGCAGAAGAGCATCAGTCCTTTGCTCACCCAGAGCGGGTCCTGCACAGCCCCTCGTGTAGCCCCACTGGAAACGCTGCCCACTGAAGGGATTCTGGAAATTTCACAGCAAATGCATACTGGCATCATTTATGCCTGCCTTGGAGCCATATTTCCCTTATCATCAGAGGTGAGTCCAAAGGGCTTACTCCAACATGGGAGGTTCTGCCCAGCACAAACTCTGCTTACCTGTTAAGCCCCGCTCCACCTCTCATACACAAGCCCTCTGCAGCAGCCTGGCCAGCGTGTTCCCGAATCCACCTGGGCATGAGCACTCACACTCTCTGTCTTTCATACACAAACTCTCTGCGGCAGCTGAGCCAATGCATTCCTGAATCCACCTGGGTGTGCACACCCACACTATCTGCTTCTCATACACAAGCCCTCTGAGGCAGCCAGGCCAGTGTGTTCCCAAATCCACCTGTGTGTGCACACTCACACTCTCCACCTCTCATACACAAGCCTTCTGAGGCAGCCAAGCCAGTGCATTCCCGAATCCAGCTGGGTGTGCACACTCACACTCTCTGTCTCTCACACACAAACCCTCTGTGGCAGCCGAGCCAGTGCGTTCCTGGCTCCACCTGGGCATGTGCACTCAGCCTTCTCTGTCTTTGCTCATGGGAGATTGTGCCGTGACCGTGTCCAGCTCTCTCTGCTCATCTGTCCTCCCACCTCACTCCTCCTCTGTGTCGTGCACCTCTCAGGACACCTGCTCCCACACCAAGCCTTGGGTCTGACAGCTTTTTGGAGCTCACATGTGCCAGTTTTTAATCTCTGCTTTCATGCATATGTTCATGTAACTGTCAGAATCTACGTCTGCAACCCACTTCCTCCCCACAGGGTTTCACTGACTTACTAAAGCTTATCACATGTTCAATAAGAAAAATGCATGGATAGTCGAGACCACAAAAAGGAAAAAATAAAGCTTATCTGGAAGACAATTTAATCATCACTCTGAAGGGTCAACTTTAGTTCAGAATTTCCTGTGATCCAAGGCAAAAAATCTAAACATAAGTTTTCCAGAATCAATCATCAGGAGGAAGGGATTGTGTGTGTTCTGAAAAGCCCGTGTCTAATGCTACCCATAGACTGTGGTACACACAGTTCAGCCAATGCCATTGTACACACATCTAACCTATGCCTGCTGACATTAGCAATGGGAATTTGGGGCAGTCACTGGCTCTATTTGAAATGCCAGGACATACTCCTGCCCTGTTCTGTCCCGAGGGGTGAGACGGGATTCTCGAAGTTCACTGAAGCCACTCTATTTCTGTCTGCATTGACCTCACTGACCAAACATAAATATTTTATCCCACTCTCCAAGCAGCCTTGGCTTTCCTGAGTTCCTGTCTGAATTGAGAGCATAACTTTGGGATAGGTTTGCCATGTAAGGAAGAAACCACGTTGATCCTGACAGTTGAAAATTGCCTCGTACGTGAGTGTGAGCTTTGGCACCTGTGATGATTTAATGGGTATATCAGATGCCCACGCCTGCCACAACAAATTACCACAAAATGAGTGGCTTAAAAGAACACGAATTTATTCTTTCATAGTGTGATATGGTTCAGATATCTGTCCCACCCCAATCTCAGGTTGAATTGTGATTCTCAGTATTAGAGGTGGGGTCTGGTGGGAGGTGACTGGCCCACAGGGGTGGATTTCTCATGAATGCTTTTGTGCCACCCCCCCCCCAACCCCCGGTGCTGTCCTCACGATCGTGAATGAATTCCCAGGAGATCCGGTTGTTTAAAAGCGTGTGGCCCCTCCACACTCTTGCTCCTGCTCCGGCCATGTGACATCTGCTCCCCTTTGACTTCCACAGTGATTGTAGCTTCCTGAGGCCTCCCCAGAAGCCAAGCGGATGCCAGCACCGAGCATCCTGTGTGGCCTGCAGGACCATGGTCAATTGAACCTCCTTTCTTCATAAATTACCCAGTCTCTGGTATTTCTTGACAGCAGTGCAAGAACAGACCAAGGCTAGAAGCTGGAGATCAAGGTGTCGGCAGGGCTCCGCTCTCTCTGAAGGTCCTAGGGGAAGGTCCTCCCCGACACCTCCACCTTCTGGGGCTCCCTCTGAAGGTCCTAGGGGAAGGTCCTCCCCCACCCCTCCAGCTTCTGGGGCTCCAGCAGTCCTCAGCTTGTGGACACAAACATGTGATCCTACCCCCTCTTCACAAGGCTCCTTCCTGTGTGGGACTCCACGTTTCTGCAGGGCCATTTCTTTTCTGTATCTGTGTCCAAATTTCCCTCTTTTTAAAAGGACAGCAGTCACTGGATTAGGGCCCAGCCAAATTCCATGTGACCTCATATTAACCTGATTACATTTGCAAAGACCCTATTTGCAAATACAGTCACATTGTGAGGTTCTGGGTGGGCATGAATTTTGGGGGTCACTGTTAGACAGCACAATTGAACAACAGAAATAACTTAAAGATGCCCTGCAGTAGTAAGATATTTTAAAAGATGGTCTTGTTTTCTACTATTAATCACATCTCTAATCTTTAACAAAGCAGCAAAGACAACAAGATCTGGGCTTGGAGTCTGGAAGCAGGGGACAGGATAGAGTGGGGACCCCAATCCAGGTACTGAGAGGGGACACCCAGGCTTCTTCCGCTCTCACCCCCCTTCCTTGCTCTGCTGTCTGAGGCAGGCCAATTAACCTTTCAGAGACCCAGTGTTGTCAAGTAAAATTATCCAGCAAATACCTGTTTCAAAGGTACCGTGATCTGGGCACGGGCTCTGCCCTTAAGAAACACATCATCTATGAGAGTCGAGTAATTCAATGTGACAAGAGAATATGTGAAAGGCAGGAAAGAAAAGAAAATGAGTAAATGGACAGCAATCATTCCTGTGCCTGCTGAGGGCTGGGTAATGGTCAGTGGAACAACCAAGGGGGCTGACCCATGCATGGAAGCTTCTGAAAGAGTAGGGTTTGCCTGGCCGGGTAGGGAGGTATGGGTACCCATCGTGGAGTGAGCAGCCCAAGGCTGAGGTGTATTTGGGAAGAGCTGGTCGTGCGGCCCTTGGATGTGTGGACAGAATGGTGACTGGCAGGCAGGTGGAGTCGCCTGGCACCTGTTCTGGGCATAAGGGTGGCCACTGGGAGCAGAGGCATGAGGTCTGTGTTTTATAATCATGTAGACGATGCTGTGAAAGCCATTTGGAATAAAGAGGGATTTGACTTAGGAACCAAACTCAGGTGCTTCTGGTCACGCTGCTGAGAGAATGAGAGCTGGGCGGTGAGAGGATACAGTAAGTCCTCGCCCCAGGTGGATGGGAGGAGCGATCAGAGGGCATGGGAAGCAGAGGCTGAGGAGCAGAGGGCCAGGGAGGCAGGAGCCTGCACCTCAGCCCTAGAGCCACCGGGATCGAGGAGCTTGGGGAGTCTGGCGACGCCTCTGCTCTGAGGCAAGAGGAAGGTTCACATGGAGGAGCCATGATGGACCAGGTGCAAGGGGAGAATTTGGGGAAATTTGATTCTAATCACCTCCGTTTTCCTTGGAATTGGGAAGCTCAGTCAATTGCTGAAATCCAGAGGGTGGCACTGGGATTAAGGGAGCAGGAGGGAAGGAAAAGCATCTCCGCAGAGAAAAGTGAAAGGATTTACCTGGTTAGGATGAAACTCATTTGAAAGCTTGTAAATTTGTCAGGGAATTAATTAATCAGCACCGTTATTTTCTCTCCCAGTTCTGAAAGCTGTCATTTCAAAGGCGCGGATTAGAACAGCATGCGGAAATAAGCAGGGGCGGAAGCAGGAGCAGGAAGAAAGAGAAAGGAAGCCACCTCTTCCCTTATTCCAAGCCAACCCTAGGACGCAAGAAGGGTTTTCTTTGTGTCTCTCGATTAAGCAGACAGCCTCAATGACAGGCAAGGTTGTGAGAGCACGGCTGGGGACGGCGAGTCTCCCAGTGTGGCCTCAATCCCACCAGCCAGTGCCCCCCACCTCCGCCAGTTCCAGAGCACTGGGGCCGCACAGGGTGGCTGCAGCCAGGAAGGGGACCGGGCATCCGTCCGGCCTTCGTGCCAGGGAGCGGCCGGTTCCCTTCCACCCCTCGCCGCTGCCCAAGCCCCACTGGAGCCTCTGAGGGCTGGTGGTCTGCGTTTTCGTGCACGTCCTTCCTCTTCGGCATGTCCACAGAGTGTGTGTGCACAAACACAAACCCACACTCACAACGACAGCCACCCAGCCCTCCTGCTCCTTTCCCATGGCTAAGCGGGTAAATTCTTCCTCATCAAAGAGACAGATGAAACGAGTTTATTAATAAAAGTCTCCGTCAGGAAGATTGGAAATGAATGATTAGTAAAATCCACCCCATTTTACTTACAGACAGACCCCCCTCCTGGAGAGGCATCTGTGAAGGGCAGGAATCCCCGAGTAGGTTGGGGCTGGAAGCATCTGGAAGCTGTTTGCGATATGGATTAGGAGTCAAGCTGCACACAGACACCGCCTCCAGACACACGGCTCGCTCTGCGGAGGGAAAAGACGCGGCTTGTTTACGGTGCCACTTTTCCCTTCGCTTGTTATCTATTTTATTTCTTCCTGGTTTCCCGGCTCCCCCGCCATTCGTGTGCAATTATGTCTGCACAGATCCGCCAGCTGTAGGGTTTGTTAACCGTGCTCACCCCGCAAGCTGTCGGAGGCTGCGGGAGGAGCTAGGCCGTACACACGTGTCTGCATCCCCTCCATAGCTGGTGCGTTTGGCCAGTCAGGGTGTTTGGGTCTTTTGCGGTAGAACAGCCAAAGAAAGCAAAAGAGAGACATGGACACACTCGCAGGCACAAAGTCTAAGCAGCAGGTGAATTGTGTGCGTGAACATGCCATGTGTCTGTGTGCACACGCACACACACGCACACTCAGACACACACGCACGTGCGCAAACACACTCACAGACACATGGACACATTTGCACACACGTGCAAACACACAGGCACATACACACACAAACACATGCTCACACACACTCGCAGGCACATGCACACCCACGTGCAAACACACACAGGTACATGAACATGCATGCACACGCACAAACACATACAGGCACAGGCACATACATACACATTCTCACACACAGGCACATGCACACGCACTCACATGTGCAAACACACACTCATAGGCACACGAACATGCATGCACACACAAAAACACAGGCACAGGCACACACATGCATATGTGCAAACACTCAGGGACACACACAAATGCACACACGTACAAACACACTCAGATACAGGCACACACTCACAGGCACACACATACAGCTGTACGAACACACTCAGGCACACATAGACACAGGCACACATACATATGCACACACGCACACAGGCACACATGCACATGTGCAAACACACACGCACACATATGCACATGCACAAACACACAGGCATAGGCACACGCATGCATATGTGCAAACACACAGGCACACACATGTGCGTGTGCAAACACACGGCCACACATGCGTACACTCACACAGGCACACACACTCACATGCACACACATGCACACACACTCACTTTCACATTCTCAGGTACATGCACACACGTGCAGTAACACACAGGCACACACGTGCACACACACTTTCACATTCAAAGGTACATGCACACTTTTGCACACACATGTGCACTTACACAGAGACACACACACGTGCCCATGCATGCACATATGCTCACAGTCACATTCCCAGGAACATGCACACACATGTACTGACACACACACAGGCACATGACTGCATGCACAAACCTCTACTCCCCCCACACTCCCACAGCTGATGGCTGGTGTTATTTCCCATTACTTGTGCATTTCTTTATCCATGAAAACACTTGAGGAATTGTGTGTTTAGGTCTCCACTTTCTACATCTGGAAAACATTCTCTGGGGGCCTTTTTATGAATGCTGCCAATTTGAGAGTTTTTAAAGTGTAATTATTCCTAGCCAATGCTTATCTCTTTGATAACAGCAGTGTTTTCTTCACAAACATTCAGAGACCCTCATGATAGTGAACCTTGGTTCCCCTAAGTTAGTTTCTGACAGAGGTTTTTCCTTCACTCTATAAAAGAAGAAAAATCGCAAGTGTGGTTTTACTTTTTAAATCAATCTAACGAACAGTAAGTGAGTGGACATGACCAGAATTCAGGGTGGGGAGGCAGGGTTTGGGCTGGGCTGGCCGCCCTCCTGCTGGAAGAGCCGGCCTTCACCTTGGTCCTGCTGAGGCTGACTTAACAAAGAGGATCAAGTCCTCGCAGAAACACAAGTGCCAAGGCAGCTGGAGGGCTAAACCAGGACCCTGCCACACCTCCTCAGGGCTGCTCCCAAGCTCGTTTACCCTCCAGTGAGGGGGAGCTTGCAGGGAGCCTCCCCACACCTGTGGGGGTGGGGAACTGTGTCTATAAATCACGTGCTCTTAGCCAGAGACCTGGGGGTCCGGGGTGAAGACAGGCTCCCTGCGGAACTGACTCACCGCAGCGCTGCCTCAGGGGTGTCGATCAGAGAGGAGAGAGGAGTCGAAACAAAGATGGGAGAGACCACCCTGCGTCCTTCCAGAATCTGGTCCTGATGACTGTCCCTGAGACGTTCCGAGGGAGTGTGCTTTCCAGCCCGTGGTGCCTGAATCCTCACGGGGAACAGGGCCGGTCTCTGGGTTTCCTGGGCCTGCTGCGGAGGCTCCACTTGGCAGGTCTGAGTTAAACCCTGACATCTGTGTCATGGAGAGGCCACTCGGCCTGGGGCCACAATACCGGCCCACACATTCTGGCTTCTGCGCGTCCTGCTCGGCACTGTTTTCCTCGCAGCAGGTGGCATGCGTTCCTGTTTATCCCCTGCCGCCTTTCTCACCTCCTGGACCCACAGAAAATGCCATCTGCTCCTGCTGGGGTCAGGTCGGGAAAGCTGGGCCGGGACACGGGTCTGGTCCTCATATGTGAAGGCGATGTTTCTCCAACACAAAGCCCCAGGCCTCACCACTCTCCATGCTCAGCAAATCCCACTGCCTTCTCTGGGAATCCCTGTCATCACTGTGCTTTGGGACATCTCTGGGCACAATGGGAACTGTGTGCCTCTCACTGCCTTTGCCACGTGGCTCTTTGAGGATGACGCCAGGGCGGTGGCCTGCTGGGAGCCCACACTCCATTTCGTGTAGAGTCCAGGCCACTACCCTCTGCATCCCAGTCCCGCACCTGCCCTTCCTGGAGGCCCTGCGGCTCGCAGCCCCTGGCCCACCCTTTCCGTGCTGCAGGGCAAACCCCCTCCCTGCGACCCCCAGGCTGTCCTGGCAGAGAGCAGGAGGCAGGAAAAGGTGAGGACTCCAGAGAGCGGGTGCCCCACGGAGAGGTGCAGGCACCTGGGAGAGATGCCTCCGATGTACAAGGCAGTGCAGACAGAGTTTGGAGGAGTAAAGGCAGGGTCACGACATGGCAGAAACTGGAGCTAGAGATGTGGGACCAGGTGCCTTCGGCCCCAGCCCTGGGCGGGGAGGAGCAGGAAAGTGCAGCCAGGTGGCTGAGCAGAAGGTGGAGCCCAGGGGTCACCAGGGGACATCTGTGTGGGGTCAGTGCCCTGCCCCTTGGTGGGGATCTGGTCCCGGGGTGATCACCCCAGAGAAGGAGGGATTCATGGGGTAAATATTTAGTTGATGTTTCCGCAGCAAATAGCTCTGCTCATGTCTCGTCCTAACCCTAACATCAGCTTCTCAAGGGCGAGCTCAAGCTGATAGAGTCTGCTTGGAGGCCTGGTCCGGGGGTTAAAGTGCTGGTGTCCTCTCCCTCTCTCCCCTCCAGGCCAGCATCCCAGCTGCTGGGAGGCTGAGGCTGGGACCGCAGGTGCTCCTGACCTCAGGCCAGCACCACTGAGACTCAGGCCTGCCGGAGGAGAAAGCCAGAAAGCCGGGCTTGGCGCTGCCTCTCGTCCCCTCTGTTGTAAGGGGAGGGAGGCGGAGTGTCGGCCCAGGGAGAATAAAGTTCTAATTTCTCACTTTCTGGGTGGGGCACAGGTCGCGGTGAGTGGCCTGGTTTGAGCCGGGCGTGGGGGAGACGGTTCAGTGCTCCCTGCTGCAGGCGCTCAGGAGAGCTGGGTCCACGGCCCCTCTCCAGAGACCCGTCTGAGATCATGGTTTATCCACGCTGGGCTAAAGGGAAGATTTTTCTGGACACTGAGTAACTTCTGTGGAAATGACGAACATGATTTGCTTTAGATACCAAAATTATGCTTCCTGAAAACCAGGAAAATTCATTGTTGAAGAGCCAGAGTGTTTTATGCCATAGCTAGTTGGTGCCATTTCCTGCTCCAAGAGAATGAGCCAGAGATCATTCTTCTCCCTGCAGTAATTCCGTTTTCACTCCTAGCCATACACATCGTTTATTTTATGTCTTATTTCCTGTTCTCTTTCCCAGAATAAGATATTCCCTCCCATCTTTTAGGTGCATTGAAATAATACAGCATAATAAATGACATAATTACGTGACCACATAATTTCATTGTAGTAATGAATACAGAAGTGACGAAAAGTGAGGGCTACCTTGTTTTTATGACTATTTTATTTTGCCGTATAAGCAAATGTTAAAAGACATGATTAAGTGGATGAAGTACTAGCAAATGACTAAATGTAATAGAAAGGTGAGGCTAGCCCACAATAAAAGTCATTACTTAGAATTCAAAAAGTTCCCTAAAATTCCCATTTTTAAATGTTTCATTTGGACAAATAGACTTCTTAAAATAGACTAGACCAATGTATTTTTTTAAAATATCAGGATACACACTTCTGAGGTAATTTAAAAGGTGGTGGATCAATAACCATTAAGAAACACTTAAAATTTGAAGGTATCTTCACAGATAGATTTGTTTCCCTTGATTTAACACTTTGTGTATATATATGAATTTTGGAAATCAGCAGATTTAACAGATTTTAGGTGTGTTTTGCTGTGGGTACGGAGCTAACATCAGCTCCAGCATTTCCGTGAGGTGTCGTCTGACACAGGTGTCATCCGGGCACTCTCGGCCGTTATTTGATGAATCAAAAATGCTTTTGCAAAGAAAGTAGCCAATACATTAATGTGGATATTTTGGCATATATTCACTTATTTACTATCCAGCGATTATTTATTGAGTGCCAGATGCCGAAAGGGAACAGCAAGCATGGCTGAGTGGTGTATGCTGCAGACTGTCCACCCTAGAGCCACAGAGAAAGCCACGTGGCGCTTCAGTCCTTCCTGGGGAAGCTCATCGCCATCGGCATCATAACCTAGGAAAGTATCTCTGGCTGACGCCTTTTTACACCACCTGCCAATCTACATCAATGCACAGTCTCATAGCTAATTACCTTTGGGTCATGCGCCCATGATTTGCAAACTCCAACTAAGCTTAAAGCTCTTTACTGTGAAGTCACAACATGAATCCCCAGCATTTTGGAAATTATGACCTTGATGAGAGATGTGTCCCGTCAATATTCTATATTCTTTGTCGCCCTCAGCTAAGTGCTCATTTGTGCATTACGGCATTTGTTCATTCATTTATTCACTCCACAGTTAATTACTGGGTACCTATTATGTGTCAAGCATGATGCTTATTCAGGATGATAAGAAATCTAACAGTTTCCTTACTCTCAGACTGCTCAGAGTCTAGTGCGGAAGGCGGGAAGACAGAGTAATAGCAAAGTCATTGGTGGTGCAGGATGGCCACATGTGCACAGTGGAACTGAGGCATGAAACAGAAGGAGCCCATCCCCTAGTTTAAATATATTCTGAGTACATTTAAACTAATGCCAGTGGCAGTCCAGAAAGGAAACTCTTCCTGGAAGAAAGATACCACGAACAATGCTTAAGTTTGGGGTAGGAGTTTGCTTGGTGTGGCAGCAAAAGGAGCTCCATCTCGGACATGAATCCACGACATCAGCTTCTGATTAACCCATCTTTCAAGAAGGATTCCAAGATTTCCAGTTTATTGTTTCTTGCATAAGGGCATGGACTTACCATAAATCCTGCCCTTTGGTCAAACAATCTTGGTGGTATTGCACTTCAATTGTCACACACATCCTTTGTGAACCACTCCTCCCCTATGGCGTATGAGCCCTGGGTCTGGGGGTAACGTCAGGGAGATCCACTATCTTGTCTCACTGCTGCCAGAGACACAGATGTGGTGTGTGAGGCCGTTCTTGCACTGATATAAAGAAATATCTGGGACTGGATAATTTAGAAGAAATGAGGTTTAATTGGCTCACAGTTCTGCAGGCTGTACAGAAAGCATGGTGGCATCTGCTTCTAAGGAGACCTCAGGAAGCTTCCAATCATGGTGGCAGGCAAAGAGGAAGCAGGCAGTCACGTGGCGAAAGCAAGAGCAAAAGAGAGAGAGCAGGGAGGTGCTACACACTTTTAAACCGCCAGATCTCTCAAGAACTCACTCGCTATCCTGAGGGCAGCATCAAGGGGAGGGTGCTAAACATTCATGAGAAATCCACCCGAATGATCCAAGCACCTCCCACCAGGCCCCACCTCCAATGACGGGGGCTGCATTTCAACATGGGATTTGGGTGGGGACACATATCCAAACTTTGTGACATGGCTTCTGCTTCTAAGTCCCTGTTGAAACAATAATACCAATGTAATGTCAAGCTAAATTTATGACAAGAATAGCACACCGTCTGGAAGAGGAGAAATGAAAGTAAACTCTTATGAGGTCCTTATATTAAATGACATAATGACATTTGAAGATAAACAGTGCTAAATTACGGGTGTATGCTGCCTTAGTTTCTTATTGCTGCTATGACAAATCACCAAAAGTACCTCAGTGACTGACAGCAACATAAATATATTGTCTAACAGTTATGGGGGCCATACATCTGAAGGGATCTCATTTGGCTAAAATTCAGGCTTTGGCAGGGCTGAGTTTCTTGCTAGTGGCTGTCGTGGAGAAGGCATTTTCTTACCGTTTTCAGCTTCCAGAGGCTGCCTGCATTCCTTGGCTCATAGCTGTCTTCCATCTTCAGCACCAGAGATGGTCATGGCTGTCTTCCATCTTCAATGCCAGAGATGGCCACCTTATTCCTTCTCATATCACAGCACTCTAACATTGATGATCTGCCTCCTTCTTCACATTAAAGAACTGTGATTACGTGGGCCAATGGATAATCTCCCTATCATAAAGTCAGTTGATTTGCAGTTTTGATCCCCTCTGTAGACTTAATTCTCTTAGTTATGTCACATGCTATATGCACAGGTTTCAGGGAGTATAACATGAACATCTTTGGGAGGCCGTTATTCTGCCTATCACATACATATACTATAAAACCTAAAGCAACCCCTGCAATAACAAAGAGTTATAGCTAATAAGTCAATAAAATAAAATAAAATCATAAAATAAGCTCATTTAATATATACAAAGTCAGAAAAATAAGTGAATGGAGAACAGAGACAAATCAGACACATAGGGAACAAACAGCTAGCTGAGAGACATCTCTAACAACAGCAATAATCATATCAACTGTGACTGGTCTAAATAATCGAATAAAAAGACAGAGATTGTCAGATTGGGAAGAAAAAGCAAGTCTCAACAATATTCCGCCCACAACACACACAGACGTGCATGCACATACACACACAACTCACACACATACAATGTAAATATAAAGGTACAAATCGATTAAAAACCAAAGGATAGAAAATGATACACTGGGCTAACAATTATAAGAAGAAAGCTACTGTGGGCATACAAATATAAAAGTAGACTCCAGTAAAAAGAGTATTGACAGAGGTAAGTCATTTCATAAAGATAAAAGCCCAAATGTACAGGAGGACAGAACAATTCTGAACATCTATGCATCTAATAACATAGCTTCAAAATACATAAAGCCAAAACTGGTGGCACCATAAGGAAAAATAGATAAATCAACAATTATAGTGGGAAACTTCAGTACCCTATTAAGACGAAAATCAGACTGGACTCATACTGTTTGACTGGACGAATTTGACCTCGTGATATCAATCCAACATTTCACCCAACTACAGCAGAATATATATTCTTTGCAAATGTACACAGACCATTTATCAAGACAGCTTATATATCAAATTATTGAAAAGCCTGCATATATTTTAAAAGATTAAGATCATACCAGTTAGTCTCTCTGGCAAGAATGGAATTAAATTAGAAATCGGTAACTGAAAGAAGTCTAGCAAATCCTCAAATATTTGGAAATTAAACAATGTATTTCTAAAGCAAAAACAAAAACAAACAAATGAAAAACTGGGTCAAAGAAAAAAATAAAAAGGCAAACTGGAAACTAGAAAATACATTACATTAAAATTTGTGTCATGCTGCTGAAGTTATATTGAGGCTGAAATGAGCAGCATTAAAGGCACACATTGGAAAAAAGAATGGCCTTATCTTATGCTTTAATAAAATAGAGGAAAAGGGGCAAATTAAATTCAAAGTAAGCAGAAGACAAGAAATAAAGATTAGAGCAAGCATCAATGAATAGAAAACAGAAATACAATAGATAAAAAATCATCAAAACCAAAACCAGATTTTTTTGAGAAGATCACTATAATTGATAAACTTCTAGACAGAATGACCAATAATAAACAGAGAAGACAATTCATCAATATCAGAAATGAGAGAGACGGCATCAGTAAATACTCTACAGATATTAAAAGAATTATCAAGAAATATTATGAACGACTTTATGCCAATTAATTTGACAACCCAGACAATAACCTAAATGGACAATTTCATCATAGATTCAAATGACTAAAACTCACTCAAGAAGAAACAGGAAGCCTGGACAGTTTTATGCTTATTAAAGTAATTGAATTTATGGTTAAAAGTTTTTCCGCATAGAAAACTCCAGGCTCAGATGCTTTCATTGGTTAATCCTGAGCAAATATTTTAAACAAAGTTTTAGAAAATCCAACCCAATAGTATAAGACAACATATCAGGACAAAGTAAGGTTTAACCCAGTATGCAAGCTTGATTTATCATTTGAAAGACAATCAATTAACAAACTAAAATAATAAAATAATTTTATTATCTCTATAAATGCAGAAAAATCATTTGGCAAATCCAACATCCATTCTTGACAAACACTCTTAGCCAACTAGGGGTAGAAGGCACTTCCTTTAACCTGATAAAGTGTACCTGTGGAAAACTTTTAACTAACATCCTGCTTAAATGGTGAAAGACTAACAGATCATCCACTAAGAGTGAGAACCAGATAAGAATGTACTCTCTCATTACCTGTTTTCAACTTTATATTAGGGTTCTCACTTGTGTGATAACACAAGAAAAATAAAAGAAAGTTACCCAGATTAGGTGTTTGCTGTCCACATGATCTTCTATGTAGAAAGCTCAGTGTAATCTACAATGAAGCCGTTATAACTAATAAATGAATTTAGCAAGGTTGTAAGTTTCAAGATCAACAAACACACAAAAACAATTGTTTTTCTATATGGGATTGTTTTTCTATATAGCAGCAAGTCTGACCACACTGGGTCTTGGAGAGGAGGTGGAGCACCTAGAACTCATATATTGTTAGTGGGAATGTAAATGGTGCATCCAATTTGAGATGCTATGTGGTATTTCTGCAAAAGTTAAAAATACACCTACTGTGTGAGCCAGCCTTTCCATTTCTAGGTACCTACCCAAGAGAAAAGAAAGTGTATGTCTATACAAAGACATGGACATGAACTTCCATAGTAGCTTTACTTTTTAATATCTAAAAATTGGAAATAACCTAATTGTTAATCAGCAGATGAATAGATAAACAAATTGTGGTGTATTCATGTAAATTAAATACTATTCAGCAATAAAAGGAAGTAAATATGCAGCAACATGGATAGACCTCAAAATAATTGTGCTGAATTAAGAAGACAGGCCAAGAAAAATAATTAATATATATGTGTATATATGTATATATATACATATGTGTATATACGTATATGTATATATACATATGTGTATATATACACATGTGTATATATGTATATGTATATATACATATGTGTATATACACATATGTATATATGCATATGTATATATACACATATGTATATACGCATATGTATATATGTATATATGTATATGTATATATACATGTATATATGTGTATATATGTGTATATATATATTTGTATATATATGTATATGTGTGTATATATATGTGTGTGTATGTGTGTGTGTGTGTGTATATATATATATATGCTGTGGGAATGATTCCCTTGATTTAAGTCCAGAAAAATGCAAACCAATCTAGAATGATAGGAGGAGATTGGTGATTATCTGGGAGCGGGGAGTGAGAGCAGCGGGTGTGACAGGGAACATTTGTGAAGATGCATAATCCAACCCTGGGAGATGATGTTTATTGTCATGAGTGCAGTAATTGTTTCATAGGTGTATAACAAGATTCACATTTACCACATTGTACACTTCAAATATGCACAGTTTATTGTATGTCAATAAAGATTTATTAACAAACAAGACCGAAAAATGTGTTTACATTTTTATAAATGGCTCTTACACTGGTCTGTGTCATTTTTATAAATAGCGAGATAACTGTTTATTACATCTGCACTATTTTGGCCCTTCCCTAGAACAATTTACATTCATGTCAACAGTACAGGATAGGCCCCAAGAAGAATCCCAAACTCAATATAGACTAAATCCTAAACATTGAGCACCTCAATAAAATTACTTTACATAAACACAGCAACTGAAATTACAAGCAATGGTTAGGCTGTTATTAATTTTTAGGTCTACATCAAATAATATTCATGTTAAAATCCAAACAAATACCACCTGTCACCCAAGAAGTGCTCTAACATCAACCAGGGTTGCTGGAGAGCTGAAAGACCACTGGCAGGACATTGCATACATTTGTCAGTGCACTGTGGGGGAGGTGAGTCCACTTACTGGGAGCTGCATGTCACAGCCCTTTTGGTTAATTTTTAGCTTCACCTGAAAATACTTTCTCTCTTGAGAAAACCACACCACAGTGTGATAATGTGAAATAGCGCCATAAAACAAGAAGACATTAATTTATTATTTTCCTCATTTTCAGATGTATGAAAACAGTCAAGAAAAGTATTTAGAAGAACAAACAGCCTCAGAATTTCAGAACTTTCAGAGAACATCTGACTTATGAAGTATATTCATTAAATGTCAACTATGTTTACCTCTTCAGTTCTCAAGTTGCTTAACCTTGCATTGCCAAACAAAAATAAACACATTGGCTTATTATTTCATCACAGCATTGAATAAATTTTAAATTTCATTGTTAAATAGTTTTAATATCTTCTGGGTTCAGAAAACATCATGGTAGTGGCATAAAAGTAGACACATAAATCAAACTGATTTTTGACAAAGGCACCAAACATACATATATTAGGGAAAGGACAGTCCCTTCAATAAATAGTGCTGGGAAAACTGGATATCCACATGCAGAATAATGATACTAGATTCCTTTATCTCATCATATACAAAAATCAATTCAAAGTAGAACAAAAACTTAAATGTAAAAGCTTGAAATATAAAAGTACTAGAAGAAAACTTAGAGAAAACGCTTTATAACATTGGTCTAAGCAAATATTTTTCAAGGATAAGACCTCAAAATCACAGGCAATAAAAGCAAAAAAAGACAAATAGAATAACGTGAAACTAAAAAGCTTCTACACAGAAAAGAAAACAATCAGGAGTGAAAGGTAACCTACAGAATAGGAGAAAATATTTGCAAACTATGCATCTGACAAGACGTTAATACTAAAAATACATAGGAAACTCAAACAACTCAATAGCAAATAACAATAATAATTTAATGTAAAAATGAGGAAAAAACCTGAATAGACATTCTCAAAGGAAGACATACAAAGGGCCAACAAATGTATGAAAAAAATGTTCAACATTACTAATCATCAGGGAAATGCAAATCAAAACCACAATGAGATATCACCTCATTTCAACTAGAATAGCTATTATCAAAAAGACAAGAAATAATAAATACTGGCATAGATGTGGAGAAATCTTATACGCTGTTGGTGGGAATGTAAATTGTACAACCATTATGGAACTCAGTATGGAAGTTCTTTAAAAAATTAAAAATAGAACGTACCATACGACCCAGCAATTCCACTACTGGGTATACCTCCAAAGGAAATGAAATTGATACGTTGAAGAGATAGCTGCACTGCCATGTTTATGGCAGCACAATTCACAATAGCTAAGATACGAAATCAAGCTAAGTGTCCATCAATGGATAAGTGGATAAAGAAACTATGATATATATACTCCATGGAATACTATTCAGTCATAAAAGAATGACATCCTGTCATTTGCAGCAACGTGGATGAATCTGGAAGACATTATGCTAAGTGAAAAAAAACAAGCACAGAAAGACAAATACCACATTTTCTCACTCATATGTGGAAGCTAAAGAAGGTGATCTCCTAGACGTAGAAAGTAGAATATTGATTACCGGGGCTGGAGAGGGGCTACTGTCTAGAGACTGCCCAACGGGTACAAAGTCACAGTTGGATAGGAGGAAGAAGTTCCGATATTCCAGAATAGGAAGGTGACTATGCTTGGCAATATTATATTGTATGTTGCCAAGTAGTCAGAAGAGAGGATTTTCAGTGTTATCACCACATATGATAAATGCATGAGAAGGTGGATATTCTAAGTACCCTGATTCAATTATTACAGAATGTATTCATATATTGAAACTGAACCACAGATAGGTACAACATCATGTGTCAGTTAAAAACAAAATAAAAGACAATTATTTTCTGTGTTCAGAATGAAAACCGAGTCTTAAAAGGAGCTACATATTCATTAAAAGTCAATGTTCTCAGCTTCAAGGGATATATGATACAGGGGGCTGGTGCTATTGAGGGCTTTAAGGAAGGTTTTTAATATTCAACCTTTGGATGTAGACACTTTTGGCCAAGAATAAAAAGCTATTGACTAAAAGGTTACAGTGCAACTGAGATTTCATTAGCTTCACCATCTTTGCAATAGAAAAATCTGTTTGTTATGCATATTTCTACTTTGCTTTTTTTGTTTTTTAATTTAATGTGTCTATGCTTATTATATTAAAACATAGTCATTTGCACCAACGTCTACGCATCAATAGAACAGTGTGATGCACTGTGAAATGTTGCCGAGACACCACCGTCTTGTAGCTCAGCCTGTGCGAACAGTCTTAAGACTACAGCTCAGAAAACCATTTCGTTCCTTGATATGCAACCTCCTAGACACGAGACTAGATTAAAGATGTGTCTGCTGCATGACACCACATTAGTATATTATTGCATAAGTAATGACTCATTGACTGGAGTATAAAAAAGATTGATAATTTACAAAGAAAGTCAATCAATAAATAAACTGTCCCTAACCAGCTCAAGAGCTGGCAGAATGACATTCCATTATCCTGTCAGGCATATTGCAATGAAAAGCGTGAAGCCCCGGGGGCATGGCACCCTACCTGCCTGGCTAGCTCGTACATCCCTCCCCTGCCAGATCCTCCAGCTCATCGGACTTCTCCACCTTTCCCACAACTGCGGCCTCACCACATACCCACGTCCAGATACATATTTGTGTGTCACTTCAATACACGGTACGGTAAGGCTGGCGCCTGCCGGTGGGATGGCTGCCGTGGTGACAGCACCATGTCACTCAAGCTCGGCAGCTGATCCCTGGTAGACAGCGCTGTCAGAGAATCGGAGACTTCCACATGTACGAGTGAAATTAACTTCTGTTAGTCTGACATTTTCCACAATCAATACTCACAGGGCCCTTGTCTCCAGGATCAAAATTCATAAATCAAAAGCAGAAAGCATGAAATAAGGTATTTGATAAATCCATTAAGTGCAGTGGCAGTGTACTTCCGTCATGCTGTCTAAAGTACACTCGTGTGAGCAAAAATCCTCCAGATTTACTACGGGGAGTGCGTGCTGGGCCTGCGTGCCGCTGCTGCGTGCATCCTGGAGAGTGCTGCAGTTACTGAGGCAATATTTTCATCTCAAAATAGCAATGTGATTTGTATTCTTTCTTCAGGTTCCTGGCTGGTGGGAGAAAAAGAATGATGTAGGGCCTGGTTTAAGGAGGCAGAAATCCAACTGATAGTGATTTTGCTGGATACAAGTTACCTGCTGGGAAATGGACTTAGTCTTCATAGACAGAGAAATAATGAATTGTGTGTGTTTATATACATAGATATATATATATACTACAGGTGTGTATAGGAGATAGATACATATATACTATTTTGTGAGTGTATACACAATTATACTGTATATATGGTGTGTATATGAGGACTCTGTGTGTGTGTGTGTGTGTGTCCCTCGACCAACCGTGGAACTTGGCTTGATATGCCCCGTGGATTTAAGGCCCTCTGTGTACAAGAAAGGCTGGTTGTTTATCATCCTCAGTCGGTAAACGGGGAGCGATTGGGCTGTGGAGTGTCTGAAATACAAAGCCGCCCTCTCTCCTTGACCGTGTGCTGCGGGTGCTGCTGCTCTCAGAGTTGGTTTATGATTTTATGCAGCACATTTTATGACAGTAGATCGGCTCCTTATGTCTTCTGCACACCAAACTCCGAATTTAAACACTTCAGAATAAGGCAGCGGACACTGCGTTGCAACCCCTAGTCTCTGCAGTCATGGAGCCAGTGGTATTGGAAGTGGGAAGCTCTTATCCACTTATTTTTTTTAAATGCCTCAAATCTACAAATATTGACAAGGATAATAGCAGAAATAGGTTTCATCTGAAAATTAAAAATCAGCAGACATTCGTTTAGAACTTGCAGTGTTCTAGATGCTGGGCGGAGCATGCAAAGATAGATTTAAATACTTCTGTCCTCACAGAGCACTGATAGAATCTGACTGTCAGGTGGGATTAGGAGTCACCTGAAACCAACCTGAACCCAGTGTAGCAACACATCGTGCCTTCAAAGTGTGTGAAGCAGGGGATTTGTATTCTCCTATTTCTAGAAGGAAGCTCCAACAGATCCCATGGATTTTGATTTGGGGTAATTTTTAGCTAATAGAATGTTCTAAACTATCCTTCAGCTGCAAACATGTTTTCAGTCTGCTAATTAAGTTTGTCCCTGGCACTGGTCACAGCCTCTTCCTTCTTGGGGAGGTGCGGCTGCAGAGGAGGCCTCGTTCTCAGGGAGGAGAGGCCTGTTAGGTTCCTCTGATCCTTCTCGAGCTCCACGCGTGGTGTTTACTGTGTTTACTGCCGCCACCTGAAGGTGGGACTGGCAGGAAGGAAGCCCGCGCTATGCTGCTTCTGAGCCTCAGGGTCCCCAGTTTCTCTGTGCTGCTACCCCCTCACGGAAAGAAAGTGTGGGGACAGCTGTTCCCAAAACACACGCCTCCCCTAAAGAAAATTTTCTCACAAAATTTTCCCTTTCAAAATCCACTAGCAACATGATGTATAAGCTAAAAGAGGGTGACGAGTTCCAAGAGTCACAGAACAGTGTCTTGAGCTTGTGTAGAAACGTCGACATTCTCTCCACCGTGGCGGCTCCCTTCGCCTGGAGCTGGCTTTAGTGCACGTGTCCGAGCCAGCCTCCCAGGCTCATCCTCCTGCGCACCGCGCTTCTACGGGAGGGCTAAGAAGACCATGGCCAGAGTCTTCGAAATAAAATGGCAGAATTTTGCAGAAAAGAGTTCCCACGGAAACTGGAAGCGCCACAGACCTTGAAAGGGTAAAAATGACTGCTGGCAAAAGGGCATACCTTGATATGGAGGAGCATCCAAAAGGAAATGGGATATAAGGAGCATCATACTGGAAGGTTCCAGGGCCGACGTGTTCTTCTGACGCTTATGTTTCTCTTGCTATTTTCTCTTTCCAAGGAAGATAAATTACACTGTGTGGATAGACGTGCAGGAAACCCAGTGGAGAGAAGCCTAGAGAAGGAGGTGTGGGCCAGGTAAGGGGAGCAGGTGTGAGCCAGGTAAAGGCTGCACTTTTCCCATTAATTAATATCTTGAGCCATGCTTTCCCAAGAAATACTGTTTTCTATTAATATGGGTACCTGCTACCTCTCTATTTCCTTTTTGTGAGTTTCTGCTTTTTCTCTGAGAATGAATTTGAGCATTATCTCAAAGATATATTTCTATTCTGCTAAATTACAAGCTTCTTGATTGAATCAGAGTTATCATTGCATGTTTGATGTTTACTAAACACTCCCAACAAATGTGTTTTTAGTGAATGAGTAGAAAGTGGGACAAAACCCAGTTTAGTTGCAAACAATGTTGAGTGTTCTTTGGGTTTAAATAATCCAAGGAGTCAGCATATGAGATGGGACAAGGCTCAATCTTTTATACATCTTGAAATCTCTGTTTTTTATTTTATTTTATTTTATTTTTTTGGTTCTATAGGACGGTAAAGCTTTATTTAAAATACAATTAAAGGAGGAGGAGACACCATCAGCCTCTCTGTCAGCTCAGGTGAGGCAAGGAATGGTAACAAATGTTCCCAGACTACAGGTAACTTACACCTGAAAAGATTAATTTTGCTTTTTGGTACTACTACCAGCTCTGCTCATTAAGGTCGCTTGGGGATCCAGGCTTACTGGGAACCCAGGAGTACCCAGCATTTCGAAGGTGGCATTTCCATATAAACAAGAAAGCGCCCCTCCAGCAGCTCTGTTCTCAGCCCATGCTGACCTGCGTCTTCGCAGCCCACTGGCTGGGATGGCTGCATGGAGCCCACGTACCGACAAGGGGAGCAGAAGGTACATCCTAGTGTGTGCCAGAGGCAGGAGAACCACAGAACCTGGTGAGTGTGCACGGAGGTCAGAGGGCCTGGGAGCAGCGCACGGAAGAGTGCAGGAGGGTCGGAGGGAACCGGGGAGACACGAGTGGGCGGCCCGGGCTGACCAGGAAGGCTACGTGGTTCTCAAGGGCATTTTAGTGGCCCTGGGTGCCAAGGAGGTTTCTCCTTCTGGGTTTCCCTTGACTGGGTCCTGAAAGCTGACCTTGTTTATTCAAATATATGTATCAAGTTCTTACGCTGTGCTGTTTTCAAGGCTCTGGATCTACCGTGGAGATCAGGACAAACGCAGCTCCTTCCTTCCCAGAATTGACATTCGGGAATTAAGTCAAGATTTGATCTGTGCCATCTACAGGCGTGGAGATGGCTGGACTCAAGGCTGGGCTGCGTGGGGCTAAGGGCAAATGAGGACCATGCACAGGACCTGGAGAGTTTACGGCAGAAATCGCAAAGCTTAAATGTCAGAGATGCAAAATGTGTCTGGGTCTGGAAACAGATTTTTAGGCATCTGGGGGTGTCTCAGTCAGCCAGTCTGCGTTAACAAAATGCCACAGGCTGAGTGGCTGAAACAGCATTTGTTTTTCATTGTCCTGGAGGCTGGAACCTGAAAGTGAGCCCAACTGATTGGGTTCTGGTGAGGCCTCCTCCTCCCTACACCCTCATGAGGCCTTGCTCAGGGAGTGCAGACAGAGAGCAAGCTCTGGTCTCTCTTCTTATCAGGACGCTAATCCCAACATGGGGCTCCGCTTTCATGACCTCGTCTCTACCCAATGACAGCATCTCCCAAAGACCCACCTCCTAACACTATCCTACTGGGGGCGTGGAATTTAACATGCGGATTTGGGGGAGACACAAGCATGGACCCTATAACAGCAGACTTGAGAAGACATCAGGAAGAGAGCCATTCCAGGTCCCTTATGGACAGGACTCCCTGGTCAACACGCTTTGTGGGGTCAGTGCCCTGAAAGGCAACTGCGTCCATGGCAGAATCTTGGGTCCTTAGGTATGCAAATTCACCACGGCCTTCCAAATGAGTGGAATAGTAATCAACCTATAGAATTTGAAGTCCCTTATGAAAAATAAGAAAATAAGGAGGCCAGGCACAGTGGCTTACACCTGTAATCACAGCCCTTTGGGAGGCCAAGGTGGGTGGATCATTTGAGGTCAGGAGTTCAAGACTAGCCTGGCCAACATAGTGAAACCCTGTCTCTACTAAAAAAAATACAAAAATCAGCTAGGTGTGGTGGTGCATGTAATCCCAGCTACTTGAGAGGCTGAGGCAGGATAACCATTTGAACCTGGAAGGCAGAGGTTGCAGTGAGCCGAGATCATGCCATTGTACTCCAGCCTGGGTGACAGAGTAAGACTCTGTCTCAAAAAAAAAAAAAAAAAAAAAAAGAAAGAAAGAAAGAAAAAGAAAGAAAGAAAAAGAAAGAAAAGAAAAAGAAGGTGGTGCTTAGCGTAAGAAAGTACCTGTTAGTACATAGATGGCTCTGGGTTCTCCATGCTTTATTTCTTTCACAAAAGGATATTCACATGGCCCAGTCACGAAGTCAAATAGCTTCCATGTGGGTGCAGGTTGCCCCTGGAACCTGAGCCTCTAACGGTGAGTTTCAGAGCAAGCCCTGGGTAACTTTTCTCCTGGGTTTGCTGCCCGTGTCACCACCTTGCAAGCTACTTTCACACCTGGGCAGGTGTAAGCTTCACACCCACTCTCTGAAGTCTCCAATTGAAAACAAACCATTTAAAAAATGTTGCTGGATTAACATCATTAAATAAATATTGCCTCTATAACACGTCAAAGTGAATGGCTTGTTGCCCAACCAGTCTATGAGAAGAACTTTTCCTTTTTCTCAAAGCGAAAAATGCACAAGCCTCTTGATTTCCTCTTGTGGGCTCAATTTAAAAGCTTAGCAATCATCCAAGATCTAAGTGATTATTAAGAATCTCTGCCTTTACTAATGGGCATTGTGGCAGACATAATGTCATACAAATAAGCTTGCATTTGATAAACCTTAATTAGATCATGTTTTGCATTTATGTTAAACAAAACTAAGATAGAAAGTGGCAGTATTTATCTTACAGCAGCCCCTATAAGCAATATGAAAATTAAAAATTATTGAAATAACTTTACCAAATATATTCATCAAATTACACCAGCACAGTTTCTTTACATTATTAGTACCTATAAATTAAATAAATAGATTTAGTATCATGAAGCAAAGCTCTGAGAGGTGAAGCTATTTATTCTCATAATGAAAAAGAAAGCAGCATAGTCTTATTTAGTGCACCAATTGTATGTTTGTAACTGAATTCCTTAGGAACAGTTGATCTGCTTTTCTTTGGCTCAGAGGATATGACAGTAACCTTTAAATCTCTTTGCATTATACATTCCCTGTCTATCAATCTGAACAAATGGTTTGATACTTTCTACTTCTAATTACAAAGGCAGCCAATAATTAGAGTAGTTTTTTTCATATGGATCCTCTGTCGTCTCGGGTGTCAATAGCTGTGGCTTTCCCGAAAGCCCAGATGTACTGTGGTAGGTGCCCTTGAGAAAGATTTTGCTGTTATTTAAATTCAATAAAGTTTTCCTCCTCTCTCCGTTTATTCTGTCTGTTTGCCTCCCCTATCCCCCTGCCTAGAATGTCTGTTTCCTTCTGAGAGAACAGTTATTTGAGAATAAAATATGCATTATTTTATTCTCAATAAAATAATAGATTGTCCTGGTTAAATATTGGAGCACTTGCATAATATTTTTTTTTCCAAACCCAAAGAGAACTTACTTTATAGTAGCTCACAGACCGTTAAAATTATACTTTGCTTGACTTCAAGTGAGGATTACAAAATCTAAACCTGAGCACTGTGCCCTTAGAATACCCCAGAGGGGTGTGTCGGGAAGGAACGCAGGCCAGAGGGAGGGACGTCGCTCTGCCTCCTGAGGCTTAGGTCAATGCCATCAAGATCGGAGGGCGGCCTGATCCGATGCTGGGGACAAATCATGGAAACCTGAGTCTGTTATGCAAAGGAAGTATTTCAGGACCACAATTTTGGACATTCTGAGTCAAAATTAAATAGATTTTATTAGTGTGAGATTATTTGGGAATAATAAGATGCATGTGGCTCACCGAAAGAGGAATATGGGATTTTGCATTTCCTAAGCATTCTCAGTCAGCGAATCCCTGTTCTCTAGGGCGTCTCCAGGCAGGCAGTTGTGAACACTGACCACCCATCCTATCGGTCTTCTGCTGCTTCAGCGTCGGTTCACGACTCTCCACTCAGGGCCACACTGCGCTCGGTGATTGAGCCCCACCTGAGGCACAACCCCAGGCCACAGCACCGTGGGGGGTTCTGTTAGGCCTTATTGCTTTCCAGAATTACTGCCTGTTCTGTAAGAGGACCATGTGCACACTTCCGTGTGACCCGCGGAGCCTGTCTCTGGAAGACGGACGCTTCCCGTCCCCTGATGTTGGGTTTGGCCATGAGACTTACATTGGCCAATGGACTGTGATATGTGTATCCACATATGTGTATGCAATGTGATATGTGTATGCACATATGTATGCAGGACATGTATATGCACATGTGTACATGTATGAAAGGAGACATGTGTACACATAAGTATGTATGAAATATGTGTGTGTGCAAATGCATGTATGAATGTATGAACTGTGATGAGTTCGTGTACATACACAGGTATGAAATGTGATGTGTGTGTGTAATATGCATGTATGAAATGTGACGTGTCTATGTGCACACACAGGTATGACTAAAATGTTGGTATGTATAAAATGTAACACATGTATCAGATGTGATGTGTGTACAAGTGTTTGTATGAAGTGTGGTGCCTGCCATGGGAAGGCAGCAACTCTGAGAGCCACTGCCTCTGCTGCACCTTGTTTGATTTCTGTCGGCTATGAGATCAAGAAAGGGCGTGCTCTCGCCTCAATAATGGTTACAATGTAAAAAGAGAGACAGCACTAAATCCTAGTGGAGAAACAGGAATTGTTACACACTGCTAGTGGGAGTGTAACATGGTACAACCACTTTGGAAAACAGCTTGGCAGTTCTAAATGAGCTGAGCATAAGTTTATCACAAGACCTGGAAATTCCAGTCCTATCCAAGAGAAATGAGCACTTATGCCCACAGGAAGATTTGCCTGGGCATGGTCATGGCAGCCCTATTACAATACCCTAAAGTATCGGGTGGAAAACCACACAGTGTCTGTCAGCAGGTAACAGGATAAGCAAGATGTGGTACATCCACACAATGGAATATTCTCTGGCCATGAAAGGGATTAGGTATTGACACATGCTAAAGCATAGATCAACCATGAAAACTTTATGCTGAGTCCGAGAAGCCAGATAAAAAAGGCCACATATTCTAACTCCATTTACATGAAATGCCCAGAAATGGTCAATTGGTAGGGACACAAAGTAGATTAGTGGTTGCCAGGGGCTGGGATTAAGAGCAAAAGTGACTCTGAAGAGGCACTAAGGGTCATATATGAGAGGTTAAAATGTACTAACACACCACTCAGTGAATTTGCAGAAAATCATGGGAGTGTAGTCTTGAAAGAGGTATGAAGGAAAGAAAAACCCTTCTGGAAAGATGATAAAGCTTATGTAATAAAGTTGTTCAGTTAAAAGTCAGGCCCACGGCTTGGGGCACAGGTGCCAGTGCTGCCCAGAGTGTGGACTGTGGCTCTCGGCCATCGTCACGGCAGGTGATGCTTGGGACAGGATGTTGCCTCTCCTCATTCCTGAGTCTTCTCCTGCAGGAAGAGAGAAACTGTCTGCTGAGGAACCCGTTATTAAGACTGTTGAAGCTGTAGGGTTAAATTATTTACATTCTAAGCAAATATGAAGCATGGTAGGAGGTAGGTTTCTATGTAAAGAAGCAACTAAATATTCAGAAATGTGTTTCACTGAGAAGTAAAATTACCTAATACACTAAAAAAAAAAAAAAAAAAAAAACCAAGGGACTCCTACTATCACCACAGTGGGGGGACTGCCAGTATCACCACAAAGTGGGAACACAGCAGGCATCATTCAGGCTTCCGTCCCCCGGAACCAGCATTCCGCCCCTCCCACAAAGAATTGTGCAGGCTGAAATTTATGAAAAGTCAATAGACATTCAGAAAAACCATATGGAACTGCCAACCGCTTTCATGTTAACTGCGCCCGATATGTTAGTAAGGTGATACACGATAGACTATCGTAAATAATTTTTAAATGTTGATGGGAAATTTAAAGTATTGCCTTAAGAATAAACTAAAGCAACCAAAACGCATGAAATAATAATTATATGAGAAAATATTTTCTTATCACCTGATCTTCATGTTTGATGTTTAATAGGATCATTTGGTTGCAATCACTCTTCTCGCTTTTCCAGACACTGCATTTAACTGCTCAGACTTGAAAATCTCCTCTTACGATGCTTCAGATTCCTCTCCTATTTGTATCATTGGACTTGGTCTCTGTACTTGGAGTCACTTTTTTTTTTTAATTCAAGGCAATTTAGTTTTAAACCAAAGAAACAAGAGCTTTACATATTGCACACGGAAGCATTTCTTTTTCTTCTACTCTGTTTTTTGAACTATAAGAGCAGGGAATTCTACGATGTTGTTATTTGTGTCCAGTAGTGAATACATGTTATTTTTCCTCAAATAAAAGCGTTTTCTTTCTCGTGCACTGGAAGCAAAGGCCCTCAGTTGACTGCATTTACTGATGAGTCATGTTCCATGGCTCTGTGGGAGAAAAGCGTAACAAAGCTCACTGGAGATTCAGCCCACAAGTTGACGCTGCTGTGTAGCAAACGCGTGGAATCCAGAAAGTGGAGGCTCTCAGGAGGTTTTCTCTCACAGAACAGGCTCACGCTGCCGGCCCTGGGGGCACCCTGTGCCAGTCTCACCCATCCCCATCCTCACACAGCAATGGTGAGTCTCCCTTACTTCTGTTTGGAGATGAAGGGTTTGGGCTTGGAGGCCCGCAGAGTGGTGGACCCAAGATTAAAGTTCATGTTTGTCTTATAGTTCAAACTTTACGTTCATCGGATTACAGGAAATCACAGGTGGTTTCGTTGCCCATGGCCAAAGAGGGATCTTTTCAGTATATCCCACTCCTTCCCCAACTCCAAGGGGAATGAGATGGGAATCAGGTGATTTCTGCTTCGAGGATTTGCCAGTGGGAAGGAGGCCCGAGGCGACCGCATGCTCCTCCGTGGTTTCACAGAAGTCCTTTCCATCTTGATCTCCTCTGAAGGTCTCATGGCAACGCGGGGTTCACATTCTGGGGGTGCCGCTGCCGCTCAGGGAATCTGACCTCCTCCCAGGAACGGGGACCACAAAGCCTGTCCAATGTGTATGTCCATTTCCTTCCCTGCCTCCCAATCCTTAAAGAATATGGAACAGAAATGTAATTATAAACAGAGGAACATATTCCTGTTATCACCTGTGACAGGACAGAACATAAGAACCACAGAATCACAGAGTCATACACCTGTCATGGATGGCAGCCCAGTGAGTCTTCTGCCCTGTGGTGGAGACCAGACACAGTGAGGGAAAGTCACAGGATGAGAGCTCCATGCACAGAGAAGGGAGGACCCGGACTCGGTCTCCATGCCCAGGGCAGGTGGCCCATGCCTTGCTGTGTCTCCTTCATATGTACAATTGAGAACATGGGGGAAATGCAACGTGACTGCCATAATCACACACTCTGTTAATTTAATTTTCTTAATCTTAGTACAACTATCACCATTTGGGTAAAGTGTCCATGATTTGATAAATTATGGATTTTTCAAAATTTGAAATAGTTTCTTTGACTTTGAACACATCTAATACAAATGGTAGTAAAACAAGAGTTGAATTTAATTAATGTTTTGGTGGCCTAACGTTACCAACAGAACAGTTCTTCATTTGAAGAACTTAGAAGTATTATCTTTGACTTCAGGTGTGTATGAGTCCGTTTTCACGCTGCTGATAAAGTCATATCAGAGGCTGGGTAATTTACAAAGAAGGAGGTTTAATTGGACTGACAGTTCCATGTGGCTGGGGAAGCCTCACGATAATGGTGGAAGGTATGGAGAAGCAAGTCACATCTTACATGGATGGCAGCAAAGAGCTTGTGCAGGGAAACTCCCCTTTTTATAACCATCAGATCTCATGAGCCTTATTCACTATCATGAGAACAGCATGGGAAAGACCTGCCCCCATGAATCAATTACCTCCCACCAGGTCCCTCCCACAACACGTGGGAATTCAAGATGAGATTTCAGTGGGGACACAGCCAAACGATATCAAGGTGTTTTCTAGTAGTTGGGATAATTTTCTTGGGAAAATGTTATATTTAGTAACACAATATAGATAATATATATGCTATATATATTTATGATTATGCTATCTATATTATATGCTATACATAATATGCCATAATATATGTATTATATGTAGCATATATATTTAATAATGCAATACATAGCATACATATTATATATTGTGATATATATTATATGAATGTTATATATAACTATCAGTATGGTGTTTTGGCTCAAAAGTGTTTTTCATACATATGTGCTTACATAGCCTTCATAATATCATGATGTTTCCAGATACATTATTGAGGAAAATACACGTCAGAGTGTTCCTCACCATAAACCCACAGGTGGAGCGGTATCTGGTACCTGGAAAGCATCTGATATTTCTCATTGAATGAACGAATGAGGTTTGAGTCACTGCCATAATTTTGTGAAACGTTCAGATGTCCGTTGCTTAGACCAGTGGGATACACCTAGCATCACCCTGGCCCCCATCTCCCACCGCTGTTTGCACAAACCCAGCTGATCCCGCAAAGCAACGCACCTGTGGCCGCCTCTCCTTGCAGACCCTCCCCCTTCACGCTCCACAACGAGATCCTTACCAGACCTCTCTTCCACTAGGCTCCCACCCTCTCAGAGGGGCCTCCCTGGCCCTCCCTCCGATGTCACTGCCTCCCCCCGCCTTCAGGTCATCCTGTTTGTTGAACTCTGAATGCAACTGTTGAGCTGCTCACTCTTGTTCTCTGGAAGAATGAGTCCCTGAGAGCAGCCCTTGGGAGCTTCTTCCTCTGGAGCCTCACGTAACTACCGTCAACTTTGTCCTTTGCACCCGTCCTTCCTGGCTGAGAGTGACTCAGCTCTCTCTCTCTCAGAGCCCCGTGGACCTTTCCTTCTACAGGAGTAGCCAAGCCCTTCAGTTCTCCTCACTGCCCTCCCCCCAACCCTGTGGATGGGAAGCTCTCTCTGGAGCTCAGGGTACAGGTGTTTGGGCCAGGTCCTTACTCCCTGGGAAACGTCAGCAATGAGCAGTGCCGCCCTGTCAGAGGAGGGTGGCGAGGGCGGCTGTGCTCTGAGTTTCCCGCCCACTTCTCAGACTCTTCGGTCTCCTCCTTTCCCCTCTGACCTCCTTGAAAATGGGCAACTGCAATGTTCCCTAACTCCTGGGCCTGGCGCCTGGGCGGATGGGAGTACAGTCCCCGAGAAGGGGTCCTGGAGAAGACCCAGGGCCACAGGGAAAAGCCAGGCCTTAGGAGCAGCTGTGCTGCACTCGAAGCACACTTCGCCCACGCGTGGAGACATGGAGTCTGCGGCTGGACGAATGGTTCTGAATGGCAAGGGGCTCTGGGCTTTGGCCTAAGTGTGAGTCCTCCCCATAGGGGCAGTTGCAGCTTTGGACATGAAGGCGGTTTCTCAAGGAAGCATTGAGAAAAAAAAAAATCAGAGGGAGGAGAAGAGAGCATCTCAGGCCAACACGGTGTCCATGACAGGATGGCTCTGGTCACTAATGGACATTTTATAAAGAGTGAACAAAGCACCAGCTTCATGTCATTATTTCCTCATCTCCAGGGTGATTATCTTTGTCTAAAATGAGACCTGTAGGATTAACAGGTAAGAAAGAGAATGCTTGATGCACTGGAGGGCCGCGTCCTAACACCGAGAGATTGCAGGGAAGGAATCAAGCTTTTCCTAAAAGGCAGCCACTCTGGATGGCCCTTAAGTGGGGACCCTCAGCCTCCACGTAGCCACAGGGTCTGCACCCTATGGGTCCTCCAGCTGCCTTGCATGATACCCAGACGTGTGTATGCAGCGTTCCATGTTTGGGACCCCGGGATCATCAGGATGAAGGAGGAGTGTATTCTCCATTTTACTCGCATCAGACACAGTGTGGATGCTGCACAGCTCACACACCGACGGGCCGGACTTCCATCCAGACAGGACAGGGATGTGGCCAGCAGGAGCAATGACCCAGAGAATGCCTTGGGGCACGAGGTCCCTTCTGGCACCTACAGAGCTTGGGCTTCTCTTTTGTGCTCCCTTTGCTTCTTGGAGATTTGGGAGGTGATGAGCTAAGATTTTCAGATCACACTGCACTTCTGAGTAGACTTCAGTGTAATTAAGGCTCCTTTCCATGTCTCCATACACACACACACATGCACAGACATGCATGTACACACACATATATATATTACATTCGTATACAAAATGTATGCATATATAAGATTTAATATATTTTTATATTTCTTTATATCAAATTGGCAGATGTCACAATTCAAAAGATATCAATAAATAGCTGAAGTTGGTTCCAAGAAAGTTCGAAGGGCAGCACAGTGAAAAATTTTTAGGAAAAAAAGGAGAAATAGACAACTTAAACTGCTTATAAACACTGAATCATTGATACGTGTGCTTTAAGATGCAAATCCTTTCCACCCCGAACACAATAAAGGCCTGTTTGTGGAGAAGTACTCAAGAAACTGCTCCAAGGAGATGCCAACAGTGCCTCAAAGCAAAGGCCTGGCTCACTGTCCTTTAGCAGAAAAACCGAGGCCCACGAATGAGGGTCTATGCTGATGACATCTGTCTCAATTTCTTGGATATTTTAGGTAAATGTACGTCAGGACGATTTTGTTCCCTTTCTATTTCTCTTTGTAATATGCGACTGATCTTCGTGTCCTTCAGGGCATTAATAGCTACAGCTCTGACATCTTCATTCTGCAGGGCTGGCCCGAGGGGGATTGATTGAGAGGTGCGTGATTGGTAGTTAACAGGTGTGGCGCCTGAGCTCCTGTCCATGCGCGGGAAGCGGCACCATGCTGAAAGCCAACCCGCGTTTGCTGGGAAGAGATGCTTTTGCAGGGTGCTGAAGGGCGGTTCTTAAAACCAGGTCCACACAGTCAACAGGAACTCAGACATTCTGATGCAGCTTATGAGGGCATTTCCTAGCCTGGAAGCCGAAGCTCTCATTTACTTCCCTTTTCAACTGGAAATTCTGGTTTATGCCTTTCGCAGGTGGATGAAAGTTCTCATTTCTTTCACAATAGCCTTAGCTAGATGGAATAGGGCTGATCAGATCAAATGGGAACATTTGTTTCCTGTGCAATCAAGAAACCCTGTGTAAACATCCTCAGTGTGGGGATTGCTTCCAAGTTTTGTTTGAAAACTTGTTTTTTCCTTCTTCATCTTTTGGACAGAATGAAGACAGTATGCCAGCACCTTTTTGGATATATACATCAGTAAATCTTGGACAGCGTAAAGGGATAGCAACAGAGAGTTCTGATGCTGCCCCCTGCACCCACCCGTGGAGATGGGGATGAATAATTAAAACCTTCGTATTTTGGCAGATGTGCAGACATTTTCACAAACCAAAGCTATCAGTTAGTCAGTCGGGTTTCCCTTATTATTGCAGTGCTTCTTAATTCTTATATATATACAATTATGTTTGGGGAAACTAAATAATAAAAACATTGTTGGGTAAAAATCAGAGTTTTTTATAACCTCATCTGCTGATTCACTGACGAAGCTTCTCTTCAATACGGCCCTAGGACTTCCCATCCCGTGATGGGAACCCACACTATACGTATATACCAAATACTCTATGTACAGACATGCATCACGCCATGATGCGGATACCTCCTGAGAAGTGCATTGTTAGGCAATTTTGTTACCGTGTGAACATGGTAGAGAGCATGTACACAGACCTAGACGGCATGGTCCAGGCACCCCTAGGCTGTATGGTGTAGCCCATTGCTCCTAGGCTAGAAACCAGCACAGCACGTAACTATACTGAATACTGTGGACAGTTAAAATACAGTGATGAGTATTTGTGTATATAAACAGATCTAAACACAGGAAAGGTGCAGTGAAAACATCGTGTTGTCATCTTCTGAGACCACCCTCGTATGTGTGGTCTATGAAATGTCCGCATGTGGTGCACGATGGTATTTGGCCACTTCACGAAGAGAGGAATGAAAGCTGTGGGCTTACAATTTGTTATTTCAGAATTTTTATACAAAAACACATCTTTGAAAGCTCATGCAGACAATGAGTAGAAATCAGAAGCTTTAAGAATTCAATTAAACTGCTTGCAGACCTGCACCTTATTTGGACATATGAAGTAGGTGTGTGCTTTTCCTACACACCAGATGAGACAGGGTCTTTGTTTTTCAGATTACAGAACATGAGGCAGGAAAGGCATCCCCCTGCTTTAGCATTTATACCTTAGACATTTGCTTTTATTTTCCTGGAATATTTCAGATAAATGGATCTTCTGGGCCTGCCTTTGACTCCACGACACAGGGGAGAGCTATGCCTCGGAGGACCAAGGAAATGCTGCTCAATCTTGGCATGTAAATTAATTGCTAAATCACAATGCAGTTTCTATGGAATTGCATTTGAATGCAAGATTAATAATGAATGAATTAATCAAGATTAATTTTATTATAATGAAAACCAAAGGATCTAATGATGATTGGCTGCTTGTTGTTGAGAGTTGCCTTATAAATATTCACATTTTTTGGTGAATTCCTTGACTAGTGTCGTATATTTGAGGGAGTCTTTCCTCGATAGCTCTGTGTGTCATATGGGAGAGGTTTCTGCAGGAACATCTCATTTAGGAATTAATTTCCTTGCTAGACTTTCCATCCCTGGAGGGAGTCCCCAGCTAATGAATTGTTGAGGAAATATATGAATTTTATATTTGGAAAATAAAGCCTCAAATGTAAGGAAAGGCTCTTTTCAGTGATATTTCTCTCATTCAATTATCTTGACATATTTAAGAAAATTAATTCAAAATAAAATGAGGTGATGTTTTGGAAAATGTCAGGGCATTATTTCAATTTGAGTAATTGAGGTTATGGTTTGGTTACATGTTAAATAATCATTTAAATTTAATTCATTTACATCTATCAAATCTACATAACACCCAAATGAAATGGAAGAATGTGGTGTTTTCCAAAGGTAGCATTCTCTGTATTTTCTGAACTGAAAATGTGAATATAGATAAATTTAAAATAGCACCGGGCTTAAGATTGTTTTTGCAGGGCTGATGTCGGTTCCTGAAACTAAGACAGCCATAATTCCCAGTGGGGTTGCATCCGCCTCAGGCCACCTGCCCTGCTCTCCATGCTGAGGCCAGCACAGTCCATTTCCATTTCCAATTTCTCACCCACTGGTCCATCCTTCCCCACTACATTGTGGCTTCAAGACCTCCTTGGGAAATATTTCCATGTGGTCACCAAAGGCTTCCTCCAAGGGCCAGAACAAAAAGATACTCTTTGGTGTTATACTTTCATTTAGCTCTAAAGCACTGGATGTATTGAGTGTCCCCTTGATATGGTTTGGCTGTGTCCTCACCCAAATCTCATCTTAAATTGTAGCTCCCATAATCCCATGTGTTGTGGGAGGGACCCGATGGAGGTAATTGGATCATGAGGGTGGGTTTTCCCTTGCTGTTCTCATGACTGTGCATAAGTCTCAGGAGATCTGATGGTTTTAGAAAGGGCAGTTTTCCTCACACATGCTCTCTTGCCTGCTGCCATGTAAGATATGCCTTTGCTCCTCCTTCACCTTCTGCCATGATTGTGAGGCCTCTCCAGCCATGTGGAGCTGTGAGTCCATTAAACCTCTTTTTCTTTATAAATTTCCCAGTCTCAGGTATGTCTTATAGCAGCATGAGAATGGACTAACACACCCCTAATCCTTGAGACTGTCCTTTCCTCCACTTCTTTTCCTTTTCCCTCTTTCCTGGTCTAGCCCTTCTCCACGCCATTCCCGAGCTCTTCTCTCTTGCTTGCCCCTTACACAGGATTTCTAGATAGTGTAATTCTCTTTTTCTTCCCTTTTCACACTCTCCAGGAACCACCCTGTGTTGGAACACAAGTTTAGCTCCCATCCATTTGCTGATGACACTCCATGTCTCTTCCTCGGCCTTGGCCCCCACCCCCATCATTATGTGTGTGCCTACTGAGGTCTCCCAGGCATCCTCACCCCAGTGAGCCCAATGGCACATCCTACGCTCCTCCCCACTCATCTCCTACATGCCATTCCATGTGTGTTTTCCAAAGAGCCTCATCATCTTCCATGGTGGAGACACTGGTGTGATGGTGGTGAGGGAATCCTGCACCTGCCTCACTGAACCCCCAAAGCAGCCTCAGTCACAAACCCAAGAGCCAGGCCCTAAGGATCAGGGTGGGAGGCTTGGGACACCCTCTAAGGACAGCAGGACTTGTTCTTGGCTTAGATCTGCCATCTGGAGACCCTGTGTCTTTGGTCACGTAACTTCCTAAAAGTCCATGGAATCTTCATGCCATCTTCCCTAGTTACGTGTGTGTTTGCCAAAATTTAACTTGGGTTATTTGGACTTAAGTTTTTGTAATGTTTAGCCATTTGATGTTTCTGTAAAACCTTTATTAACTTTCATACTGTAAATAATGCTATAATTTTTTTTTGGAGTCTCGCTCTATTGCCCAAGCTGGAGTGCAGTTGCATGATTTCAGCTCATTGCCACCTCTGCCTCCCAAGTTCAAGTGATTCTCGTGCCTCAGCCTTCCCAGTAGCTGGGACTAAAGGCACATGCCACCACACCCAGCTAATTTTTGTATTTTTAGTAGAGACAAGGTTTCACCATGTTGGCCAGGATGGTCTCGATCTCCTGACCTCATGATCCACCTGCCTTGGCCTCCCAAAGTGCTGAGATTACAGGCATAAGCCACTGCATCTGGCCAATTTTTTAAAAAATTATATGACTATTTTGAAATAGCCACAATTTCAGTGTTTGTCAAGGCATTCTCGCAAAGTAATATTTCATAATCATTGGCTGCCAAAAATTTTGCTAGGCAAGTAATGTAATTATCTCTAATCCTCACCAAATGTCTGCTTTTAAATCCCAGGCTGATAAATGAACTCACTGGAGTTAAGAAAAGCCCAATTCTTTGCTTAAAGTCACACGAACAAATAGCCAAGATTCTAACCTTCGGGTCTTTTTTAAAATTCTGTGCCTTTCCCACTATACCTGCTATCTTTCATAGAGACTCAACAACAAAACAAATGAACAAACTTTTACCCTAATTAAAATCAATTCTCCTGACTGTACTGTTTACAGTCACAAATGCAGCACGCTTCTCCAAATGCTCCTACGGCCCAGGAGACTAAATAAAGTTTTAGCAAACTAATTCCAGAGCTTAGTGCTTTTCTAACCCATCAGTCTATAGATAGGAAGCATTCAGACTTTAGGTTTGGGTGATTCTTATTTCTTTTTTCACACTTATTTTTGGGCAAATATTAAGTTTCATTTCACATTTACCCCTTTGTCAGGAAAGAGTATTGATGTACAGTAATTTAATGCTCATTTAAGAAAGATCTCATGTTGGGCCAGGCACAGTGGCTCACACCTGTAATGCCAGCACTTTGGGAGGCCGAGGCAGGTGGATCACAAGGTCAGGAGATCAAGATCATCCTGGCTAACACAGTGAAACTCCGTCTCTATTAAAAATACAAAAAAATTAGCCAGGTGTGGTGGCGGGCACCTGTAATCCCAGCTACTTGGGAGGCTGAGGCAGCAGAATGGTTTGAACCCAGGAGGAGGAGCTTGCAGTGAGCCGAGATCGTACCACTGCACTCCAGCCTGGGCGACACAGTGAGACTCCTTCTCAAAAAAAAAAAAAGAAAGAAAGAGCTCATGGTTTGTGCCTATTATATTTCTAAAAGATAGCTCTAACCAAGATCCTTCTTGAGCAGGGCTGAATGAAGCTGTCTTTTTAATAAGCAAGAGATGTTTTTCACTAGGAGACGGCAAGAAAGAAGCACAGGGGCTTTGGAGATTCACATCAGTAATGGTAAAGAAGAAAGGATGCTGCAGGCAGTGTCAGAGGCAGGAATGATCAGGTGTCAGGGCCACAGAAATGTGCTCTATTTTCCTCTGGAAAATGTTGGTTAGTTTGATTTTTAACCAGGATATTCAATCACAATGAACTACCTAATCCACAGATGCCCCACACCACCCGCCTCCCACCCCATGCAGCTTACATTTCCTGGGATTTAAGGGCAAAATGTTTTGTGATTCAGACTGTCCAGGCATCATCTTGCATTTTATGTCAACGGGTAACTACTAATTTTCCACCAAGGGTTCTTTAGAACTGACATTAAAAGCAACTTAAATTCTAATTAGAAACACAATGGAAGAACCTGACTGGGCCCACTTTTGTAGAATTCTTCCTCCTCATTAAGATGAGATTTAAAGCTAAGTAATAGGATCTGTCAACCTCATAAAATAACCTACTTTGGATGGTTCTTTATTACAATCTGAAAAGAGTTTTCTGGCAACTTAAGGGAAAGAGAAAGCAAACTAGTGTTTACTGAGTCCCTGCACGGAGACCAGGAATGCATTTTAATATTCACAACCCCCAAGACAGATCACTTTACGATGATCACTTCACAGGCAAGGAATACGGGGTTCCACAAGGTGACGTCCACCTGATGTCACAAACCTACCACAGCAGGACTTGAGTCTTGCTGTGTTCCAGAATCCATGCTCCCCCTAAATGCACACTATTTCCCCAAGATATGGGAAGTAATAAATGGTTTTGACATAGGAGACTGGCAGGACGTGTTTCCTGGTCACAGCCCTGCTGACCCAAGCAGGGTCCGGTCCAGACAAGATAAAGTGAAGAAAGCCATGGGAACCAGCAGATGCTGCTCAAAGCAATCCCTGGCTGCCCTCACTGCTGGCTGGCATAAAGATGCTTCCACCAGCGCCATGACAGTTTACCAATGCCATGGCAACAGCCCAGAAGTTATCACTGCTTTCAGTGGCAACAACCTAGAAGGGGCTGCCCTTTCCTAGGGAGTCCTTAACTCACTCTTCAATTTGCATGGATCCACCCCTTAATTTGCATGCAGTTGAAAGCAGGTATAAGTAGAGTGTGGATATAGGCGTCAGGAGCCCATAAGCTGCGGACTCTGGCACACTTCCTGTGAGTTTGTCCTGCTCTGCAGAAAGCAGCTCTGGCTTAATGAAAGGTTCCTGCCTAACACCACGGGCTCACCCTTGGATTCTTCCCTGGGCAAAGGCGAGAATCCTCCTGGGCTAAGCCCTGATTTCAGGACTCACCTGCCCACCTGCATCACTCTTATCACTCACAGGCAGGAAATGAGACAGCCTTCCCCAGGAGACCCAGGTATCATTCTTGTGCGATAGGGATGGCAGAATCCAAGATGTGCAGTGCTCTGAACGTGAGAAAACCTCACTAAGTCTGTTCTTACATACTGCTCTAGTTATTTTATCAAATAATACGTTTGATATGTTTGGTCAACTTCAAGACACTTTTTAAAGTCAGAATCTGTACAGTTAAAGTAAGCAGTCCAAGTGTTAATCTGAAAACAATTAACAATAAATACACCAAAGAGTGTCAATATATTCTAGAAACACAGGCAAGTTGTGCCCCTTTAATTTACCTTACCAAATAGACCCATCGTTTTAAATGTAGAGGTCCTTTATTGGAGAAGAAGTCTAGAGGTCAGAGAAAAATACATTGAGCATATAATTTGGAAATGCCATTAACATAGTATTTCCAACTAAGTTCACCAAATGTCTCCCCACGTTTCTCATTCCCTGTGGTTAGTTCTTACACCGAGGTCCTCACCATCCGGGGCAAATGAAATGTAAACAATCACATCTCATACAGAAATAGCAGCACTGACTTCGTTCTCACCATTTCACCTACATCAACTTCTAATCAAAGGGTCTTTGGTACTGCCATTAGAATAATATCACTACTCACATTTTAAAACACACTATTAAATACTCTCAAAAACAGAAGCCATAGCCTGGGCAACACAGTGAGATCCCATTTCTACTAAAAAAACACAAAAAGTAGCTGGACGTGGTGGCACATGCCTGTGGTCTCAGCTACTCAGGAGACTGAGGTGGGAGGATTGTTTGAGCTCAGGAGGCAGAGGCTGCAGTGAGCTGAAATTGCACTACTGTACTCCAGCCTGGGTGACAGAGGGAGACCTTGTCTCAAAAAACAAACAAACACAAAACAAAATGAAACCCCAAACCCAGAAGCCTGGGTGTGGCCCACATGTGGTTAAGGCTGAATGTCTCCTGAGGGCATGGAGGGAACGCAGCACACACACACAAGGCTCAAAGTAGAAACAAATGAGTTCGTGGAGCAGCCAATCTATGTGAAGCATGCACTGCCTTCTCACACTTAATGCTCATGCTTTACAGATGAGGAAACAAAGGAAGATTCAGAAAAGGAAGGCAAATTATTCACCCTCTTCACTAACCCAAGGCCAGTCAGTCCTAGAGCCCAAAGTCACATGGCTTCCAAGGATCCACTGAATCAGAGCCATACCCTTCCCAAAAAATAAAGCTCAAGGTTACTGTCGTCCAGATTTTTAAATAATACCAGGAATCCCCTAGCCTGCCCTGCATTACAGATGCAGATATCATGTTCAAGTCTAAATACATCATGAAAAGGACTATGTACAATGGGTTTTAATGCAGTGCTGAGACACAGAAAGTACTTAAGGTCGAGCCTAGGCCGCCAAATGTCAGGCCAGCCCTTAATTTTTGCAGGGCCCAGGGTAAAGTACAAAGGGAGGCTTATCTGCCAAATATCTACATATTTAAAAGTTACGGCCGGGCGCGGTGGCTCACGTCTGTAATCCCAGCACTTTGGGAGGCCGAGGCGGGCGGATCACGAGGTCAGGAGATCGAGACCATCCCGGCTAAAACGGTGAAACCCCGTCTCTACTAAAAATACAAAAAATTAGCCGGGCGTAGTGGCGGGCGCCTGTAGTCCCAGCTACTCGGGAGGCTGAGGCAGGAGAATGGCGTGAACCCGGGAGGCGGAGCTTGCAGTGAGCCGAGATCCCACCACTGCACTCCAGCCTGGGCGACAGAGCGAGACTCCGTCTCAAAAAAAAAAAAAAAAAAAGTTCCACAAGATTTTTTTTAAAAACCTAATAAATAAAATAAATCCAGTGTCCCACCTTGGTAAATACATTTCAGCAATGACTTACTCTTTCCAGTGCTGGTTAACAGGCCAAGTGCATGCTTCCTGAAACTCTCCCCGCCCTCGCGTCACTTGGAGGCAGCAGTGCCCAGCTGGAGCCATCAATGAGTTGGGGGAGAGTGGCTACGAGCAAGCTGCAGCCTGTGGTGAGCTCAAGGATGTTTCTAAGTCCAGAACCAAGGTGAGAGCCTTACTGGACTTCAGTGTTTCTGGGATGGGCTCAGGATGTGCACTTGTCCCACGTTCCCAGGGGACTAGCTCCCTGTTGCCCAAACCTAAGACCTTTTGATAGAACAGAATGTTTTTATTTCAGTAAAATTGTCTTTATTTAGCCAATTAGGAAAAATCTTCCCAGAATCAAGTGTTTTCATTTTTAAAGAAGCTAATTTAAACAAAATTTACCATTTGATTATTGAAAATTGAAAGCAAATTTTTCTAGAGCATGAAGGCAGTACTTTGGGAGGAAAAATCATATGCTATAAACAGTTTGATACAAAACGTTGGGAACAAAATAAGAACATTTAGAACTAATATTGATTTTCCATATCCTCTTATTTTCTCTTACTGTTCTTCATAATGCATTTGTGGTTAACACAAAAATTAGTATTTAATTAGTATTGAAATTAGTATAGAAGTTCATGGTTAACACAAAAATTAATATTAGTAACACTAATTCATAAACATCAGTATTTGTATTTTGTGTTTATGGTTAACACAAACATTAATATTGAAGTCTAATATGGACTTAGATTTTAGTACTATCGATCTAATGCACTAAAGCAATTTGCCGAGGAAGTGTAAAAGGTGGTATTCTATACTGGGGGAGATAAGTAGGCCAGAGAAGAAACATGTGGGTCCTTTGCAGGGAACAGGTGTGGGCTCCCCATGGTGAACGCACCATTATTGCTATCTCAGGGTCATCTTCTCCCAGGATTCTAATGAACAGCCTGGATACAAAGAACTCAAGACAAGAATAAAACCTGGAGCTTTGGGAGGCTTGAGAAACTGGTTTCCACACCCCTCATTCTAGCAAAACTCATTCATGCTGGATGGCAGTGCAAAGGGGTCAAATGAAGAGTCTGGAATAAAGCCAGGCAGATGGGATAGTGAGATACAGGAGCAATGAAAAATACTTCTCCAGACACTGGAATTTGCTGTTTCCCCCTAATCTCTGATTATCATAACTTCGAATGTTATGAAGCATTCCGATCGATCGGCCTAAGTGCACTTTGTGTGGGGTGATAGCGAAGCACGATCCTATCTACTCGCCACACCTCACGTAAGAAGCAGGGCATGCAAAAAGCCATCTACATTTTTGTGCAATTGCAGGGAGCACCACATAAAGCCTTGTGTACATAAGCAGAAATATTACACCCTTACGTGGATTTAGCTTGCCATATAAATGAAGCACGTATCAGGTTTATACAGGTTTCAAAACCATTAGCACTGATGGCTTTTAAGGAGAGCCGTGTGCTATGACTCATGCTTTGCTCATTTGTGCCATTTGGAAATTAAGTATTCTTAATTGAAGTAATGCACCGCAAGTTTCAATGGTTTTCAGCAGAGGGGACACATAATTCCACTGTAATTCGAGAATGATATTCTAATTGATTAATTGGCTTTTCTTGTAAGGTTGCAAAGGAGTTTTCAATGTAAAAAGGTTATCCACATCTCAGCAAGAATAAAAATGCTAGGATTGCACGATAAATTAGTGGTGCCGTGGTGGGAGGAAGTGTGGAATGAGATGACTACTTTACTCTCAACAAGTGGATTCTATTTTTTAATTACATACATTTATGGGGAAATGCAAAATAAAGCAAAAATAGAAGCAAAAAACAAACAACCAAAAAAAAAAACAACCCTAAGGCCCAGCCATGTTTGAAAGAAGAACACACACATATTCAAACACAATGTGACAAGGCCGGTTGCTGATGTAGAGATCGCAGCTGATTGGGGAGAATGCACAGAACACTCACCCTCTTTGATTCCAGAAATCCACCCTTTCCTTAATGACACAGGCTTTTAAATCCAAACGAAAGCTCATTCATCATTTGCACATCTATCCCTTCCCAGTATCTTTCTTTCTTACCTTCTTGGGCCCATAAGAACATGGCTGAGTGGGTTGGGCAGAAAAGAGATGGACATTTCAGAGAATAATAGGAAAGGATCAGGGAGCTGGAAGAGTTTAACTTTGATAATAGAAGGATTTAGATAAGACGAGCTAAGACTTTATAAAAGGTTATGGCCAAGAGTCTCCTTAGTTTGCCAGGCAAGCAGAAGAATGTCATGGCAGCTTTCACCATGAAGATTCTTGCTGCTCCAAACTCGAGATGTGGACTAGGGAACATTTCAGGTGCTAAGTGCGTACGGACTCTATTGCAAGATCAGAGTTCTCTGAACCAGCGGTCCCTAGAGTTGAAATCCTTTCAGAATTCCCACCCTGGTGCTGCAGATCTGGGGGAGGCCTGAGACCATGCAAGTCAAATCAGCCCCTGGGTGGAGCCCATGCTGATGATGGCCCCTGGTCCATGATTTGAGGAGCAAGGGACTGGCTATCAGAGGAAGAGAGAAGGAAATCACAGGTCTTGCTGAGGAGCAGTTATTAACATTGAAGGGTGAAAGCATATTCTAAAGTGAGACTATTTTCTGCAGCGATGTCTCTAACATGGCTGCAGAAGCTGAGGCTTTGCTGTGCCACAGTCAAATAAGTTTAAAGATCAAAACAGTTTGTGACAACCACTTTACTTTGTTTTCATCCCTCTTCAACTCAAGGGCAAAACTTGCCTGAAGACATAGTGATTTCCTAATGGGGACCTGTCCCTAAGCCTACCATGTCTATCATGCAGTAATGTAAGAATTTGCCTGCATTATGAGGGTCAGAAAGCCTCCCAGGAGGTCTAGCTTTCAAAACGGCACCTTCCAACCTGCTTCATGATGGACTTCAAAATGTATTTCTGGGTTGAAAAAATCGACACTCTTGCTTTATATTTGGTCACAATATTGGCAAAAAGAGTGAGCCACGCAGATCATGATAATAAAAAAAAACCCACAAACTATCCTTCGGGGAGGATTTTTGGAGTAAAAGTCATTTTATGTGGTATATAAAGGATTTAGAAATGATGGTGACCTTTGTTGTGACGACTGAAGATATTTTGGGGGAGAAATATATAAAGCCCTACCCCCTTTTTAAATGGTAAACGTTTCTCTATTTCTCTCTCTGTCCCTCTCCCAATCTTCCTCTCTCTCTTTCTCTTTCTCTCTCTCTCTCTCTCTCTCTGTCTTGGTCTCTCTTTCCCCACCCACCCTGCCTCCTGGAGGCTCTCATTTTAAACAGGTATTCACCAGAGAAACTCAGAGCTAAAAAAATGCCGTTTGGAAGATGTGTTTCCAATATCAAAATTTAGCAGGAAAAAACGTCTGCAGATTTTCTCTTAACCCTTTGCATCTCCTCTCGGCCAGGTTTTGACCTCTGAGACGTGCCCGCCTCCTGCGTGTGTGCGCTTGACTCTTGGCCGCCCACGGCTCCGCCACTCGGGTTCCAGCGCGTCCCCTGACACTCGGAGGGCCACTGTTCTTTCAGTCATGGTTCAAAGCAGCCCTGAAAGAATCATGAAGTGACACTGTGAAATTACTGTAAAAAATCGTGCGGCGGTGTCATGACATTCTATAATTGAGAACTCCAGCCCTCAGAGCTCTATCCAAGCCCGTACGAAGGAAGGGAAAATCCGCGTTTTGACGGTCACATAAGCCGGAGACGTGTGTGTGAGATTGTGTAAACTCGGCCATGTAGAAAGTGAGCGCATGTTCCAGTCTGTGCCCCCATGAAATTGGCACAAATCATCTGGATTTGACTTCAGGAAGGTGGTTAGGGGGAACAAGAGTGTGCAAACGAGGGGGTAATGGCCACTCAGTGACCTAACCTATGTCACAGGGCAGCTGCTGTGTCAGCCAAGGATCAAATAAAGATGGATGAGCCGATCACAGCCGGGCTCTGCCTCATTGGGCCCAATTGCCTTAAACAGCAAATGTTCATAGAGAAAGATGAATAGGGCAGCCAGGTACAGTAAGGAGTGGAAAAGTAGAACAGTGTGGCTCACAAATCGACTGGAGTGTAAGAAAGCCTTGGCGTGGCTGCCCTTTTCTGAAATGTGATTCTTAAAGGGAAAGCAGTGACATCAATCCTGGCCCAACACTATTCTCTCAATTTAAGGAGTGAGAGGACCAAAGTTCAGCACTTTGAGCCTTCACACGGCCAGGAGGGCACCTGACTCTTCCCTCAATGTTCATAATTGTTTTCATCAATGCTATTCTTACATTTAATTGTCGGCACTGTCCTTCTCCAAAAGAAAGTCATTGGTACAGAGCTATGTCCACCCACTGTGCATCTAATTGCTCTACTTTGGAATAAGACTACCTTTTAGAGCAAATTAAATAATAATATCAGATATTAATAGGTCTCAGGGATCCAGGGCTCCCTCAGGTCCACAGTGTTTTCTGAGGTAATCGGCACCCAGCATCCATCACCCAGCCCCAAGCACCCAGCACCCAGCATCCATCATCCAGCCCGAAGCACCCAGCCCCCAGCATGCAACACCCCACCCCAAGCATCTAGCACCTAGCATCCAGCACCCAGCCCCAAGCATCCAGAACCCAGCATTCAGCACCCAGCACCCAGCATCCATCATCCAGCCCCAAGCACCCAGCCCCCAGCATGCAACACCCCACCTCAAGCATCCAGCACCTAGCATCCAGCACCCAGCATCTATGGAGGAAAGAATTAAGCTGCTCCTTGCCCAGCAGGGGGCTCATGACAGCCCAGTTCAGGACTCTTGAGCCTTTGGGTGTAGAATTTGCAGCTTCTTTCATCAGAAGGTAGTTGAATCTCCCATTATGTATGCATATATTTTTGGTAAGTTAATTGGACTATCAGAAGTAATTTAGAACTTTTTATAAGCAAAATTGCTTTTAGCTTTTCACATAAACTCCCACAGAGCTCATCGGTGGGGTTGGCGGGCCTCCGCCACACTGCCCAGGCCCCCAGGGCACGCCGGTCAGGCCTTCTCTTGGTTTCCAGGCAGACAGGAGCCCATCGTGTACCCGCCAGGTACTGAAGGGCGTGATGGGCCTGCTTGTCACAGCAGCATTTGGAAATTCTCAGTCGTCCTAACCAGGAAATGGGACGTCACACATGTGGGTGTGGGATATGCAGCCCCTGCATTCTTAAGCCTCATACATGCAGCCTGGGTGGGTTTTGCTGTCCTCACGTCACTAATGGAAAAGCTGAGCCGTGGATGGACTGGTATTTTTTATCAGAGCCCCCTGGGCAGTGCTCTCCAGAGCGAAGACGAGGAGCCAGGCCCCTCTTGTTGTCAACTGGCTTGTGCTGCGAGAGGGATCGAACCCCAAGCAAGGCAGGCCCAGCTCCCTTGTGAACACCCAGGCCCATAGTCGCGTGTGTACATCCATGCAGCCATGCACAATACATGCGTGTATGTACATGAACACATACATTCATGATAGCAGAAAAGGTTCTTCATCAGAGAAATCAATTAGCCATATGTTTCATCGCAAGAAAAATCCTCACCAATGATGGTCTATTGAAGAGAGAAAACAAAGATTTGAAAGAGGCTGGTTCTTTCAGAGGCATATGTTTCATAGTTGCATTCGGTTTATTTAAAAAGACATGAGGAGTTTTTCTAAGTCTATACTATGTCTTCCCGTACTCCCTAGTCTTTCAAATCCCTGTTCTCAGTGTACAAAAATGCCAAGTGGGTAGAATGCGGTAAGAGAACACCAGCATCACAGATCACGGGGAACAGCCATTCCAGAGAGCCATTTGTCCCACACAGGACGAACGAAAGAAGCACCATTCTCTCCGGAAGGCAATCCTTGGAAATGTCTGGTCAGAGAAGGGGAGGAGCGGGCCTGGTTTCCCTTTGGATGAGATGAGATGCCGTCTTTCAGACTGTGCCATGGACAACTCTGAAAACCGGCACACTCTCCACAATGTGAAGCTTAGCAGGCCACATTCTCTCTTGAACTCAGTTAATTTGCGGTTGATTTTTGTTTTAATTTGGGTCATCCAGTCTTGCTTACCTTTTAATGAGAAATGAGTCATCCTCAGTAATATGGGAAACGCGAAGTTGAACCCAGTCCTGCTCGAATTCCTCCACGCTAATGACACACCTGTGGATGGTGCGTCTAAGCAGGAAGTGGCGGCTGACTAAACGACTCCGAATGCGACCAGATTAATAAAAACCAGGGTGCTCTGAGGCGACAGTGAATCTCCTTTTAAGGACTCGTATGATAAAACTGCATATAAATAAAACAGTTAACATCGTAGTTGATATTACAGATAAACTCATACGGCCTGCTGTGCCAGGCTGGGGAAGGACGCGTGGCCACGACGCCTGTGCTGTTTCTCCAGCTGCCCCCTGGGCCATGAGGACCAGGCCCTGAGCCGGACACGGCCAAGCCGCGTGCATGAGCCTGACCCTGTGTCTCCGTCTGCGCTTCTGCCGTAAGTGCCTTTCAGCCATTCCAGGCTTCGTCTGTCTCTGCTTCACCTTCCACAGCTGTGGCCTCAGTGTCCCCTTAACGGGAAAGTAGGCGCATGTGCATTGTCTTCTCAGTGTGAGTGCCGGGCTGCGGGGCTCCTTCCCGCTTCACGAACAGCCCAAGCCTGGCTGGGCGAGGAAGTCCTTGCGGGCAGCAGGCTCCTCTGTGCCAGGCTGGGGAGAACCCGTGCCCCACGTTGGGATCACACACCAAGCTCAGGGACCTGTTAGAGGTGCCCCGCGTGGAGATCCAGAGGGCGGGAGCAGAAGTCCTGCCTGCAACTTGCCAGGGTGGACGCACGTTCTGGACATGGTTTAAATCCCTTCATTAGCTTCATCCAGCCACAGTTTCATTATCCTTAAAATGGGCGTAAGGGTTTCTAAAACATGAGAGGAAATCAATGAGATTCCATATATAAATCATTCAGCACAGGGCAGGCAGCCCCCAGGAGCAGGTCCTGGCCTCCGTATTCCTGCCTCTATCAAGCCGGGGTTCACTCTCCCTCCTGTGAACCTGCATGGCTCTTGCAGACGTCTGTGCCTTTGCTGATAATGCCGGTTCCCCATCCGGAAGGCTCTTTCCTCTTCTCCTAAACCCGGGCATCCTCCCTCTGAGGTTGCCCCACCCCATTTTTATTTTCCTCCTCCTCTAGCTTTCCAGGTTACGGTGTCTGTAAAAACTGCCTCACAATTAATTTTTTACAATCATACCTGGCCACACTGTCTCCTACGACTGTGAGCTTCTCATCTTTGTAGAACAGACCAGGATTCACCTTGCACTCTAATGAATGAAAGCGTGCAGTTACTAAAATGTTCATGTATTTTAAAAACCCAGGCTTAAATGTAGACAGAGTGAGTCCTAGAAAGCCTTTTGGGTTGTACTAGGAAGCACCCTCATGCTCCCTAAATTTCATTTTTAACACCCTGGAGCATTAAGTACTTACCACTAATTAAGACCTCATCAGGAATTGGTTGATCAGACCCCCTCTTTGTCAGCACTGACAGGAGCTCCTTTGAGGTCTTGGGAAGGTGCCCACCTGTAGGGCAGGGTCCCAAACCCACGGGCTTGCAGCTTCCAAGGCGGAACTCAACGGTGATATGTGATACCTGCTTATTGAATGAATGAATGAAAGATGAACAAACAAATGACTCAATGTTGCACACAAGGAAAGAGAAAGTAAGAGCCTGTGTTTCCATCCTAGAAAGGATCTGGAGGGATAATGCACATTTGTCTCTGCTTACCTTTCAATTGTAACTTACAGATCACTTCCGGGGGCATCTCTTCATCCACTCGACAAACGACAGGACAGGCCTGCAGCCCTCTCCCACCTCAGAGACTGCACCTTTGAGGTTCCGGAGGTGAAGAACCCCAGGGCCTTCAGCCAGGGCATGACCACTCGTGGACTCAAGTGGACTCCTCTTGGTGGGCGCAGTGCCTCTCCCACTTTCTCAGAAGAGGAAAGTGTGGGGTGTGGAGGGCGGGGTGAGGGAGGCCACGGAAGGTGGAGGCGGCTGGTGAGACGCTTGTGTTTCCAGGCCTGAGCTGTTGTGGGCACCTGAAAGAACTGGCTTTAAAAGGCAGCGACTCGGTCTCAGGAAGTCGGTATTTTACACAGGAAAGAAAGAGATGGGAAAACAGTAGCAAAACCATAAATACCGAACATTCCAACCACGTGTGATGGAGAAATGCCTTCTTCCTGCAGCAAATGCAACTTGCAGAATCATTCAGGGCAGCGATCATATCTTTTCTTGTTTTTGACTCTTACCTGTGTACGTGGCAAAGGCACAAAATCAATGCCCAAGGATGTGCACATCATCAAGCTCTGTGGCACGCTGAACTCAGTTACTTCCAATTTCTTAATATGTTTCAAAATCCCTAAAACAAAGCAAAAAATTTCATCATCCTGGATATCATCAATCCTAATATTTCCCTGAAGTGTATGCCATATATCCCATCTTTCTCCTCCTGTGTCTAACCTTACAAAAAAATAAAATAAGGGCAGGTGCAGTGGTTCACACCTGTAATCCCAGCACTTTGGGAAGCCGAGGCAGGTAGTGGATCACTTGAGGTCAGGAGTTTGAGACCAGCCTGGGCAACATGGTGAAACACCGTTTCTACTAAAAATACAAAAATTATCCAGGCATGGTAGTGTGAGCACCTGTAATCACAGCTACTAGGGAGGCAGAGGCAGGAGAATCACTTGAACCCGGGAGGCAGAGGTTGCAGTGAGCCGAGATTGTGCCACTCTACTCCAGCCTGTATGACAGAGTGAGACTGTCAAAAAAAAAAAAAAAAAAAACTAAAGGGGGAAACTAAAATGAAAGGGCCAGTCTGTCAATAGAAAAGATGATTCTGATTCTGATTCTGATGGGAGGGGCATAGTTGATTTACCTGCAAGAGAGCAGGGCACAGAGCAGGTGCTGGTCTCTAAGGTGAGTGTTTTCCTTCCAGGATCACAGCTGGGGAGACAAAGGAAAGGGAGTCACAGCTGAGAGGCGTGTGAGGCCCCTCCCTGGGCATTTCAGCCCAGCAGGAGCATGAAGGCTGAAACAAGAGAAGCCGAAGTGCTGAGAGAGACCCCAGCTGGGGAAGGGCAGGCAGCCAAGGCCAAGGGCCTTCCCACTAAGCCTCCTGTGGGACGGCGGGCGGGGCCAGTGCCATGGTGGGCCTCGGAGAACCTTGTTTCCACTCTTTGAGCATCACCTCTACTGTGCTTGGTCCAATCTTCATTCCAAGCAGCTGATTAAAAACATGAAATGAACATTCATAGAGCACGTGGGCAAATATTCCATGTAGTCTGTAAGCACAGTTCCATTCAAATAAACAAGACCGTCTCTAGCTGGGAAGTTGCCTTCAAGAAACACTTGGGAGCCAGCTCCAGGTCCACTGGTGCACCATCTGTTTGCGTGGTAAGGTGCCCTCTCACAGGGTGCTAGCCCCAGGCAGAGCCATCAGGGCACAGGGTGGAGCAGGACAGACTCCTCAACGAGGCAGAGTCCTCCGGGATCCCTTACACTCGGATGCCAAATGCCTGTGGAGCTGATTCCTTCTTGAGGGTGGTCCGTTTTTGAACCCATGTCAACATTAGGGTTTAGTTTCTGAGTGTTTTTTACTTTAAATGTCTTATGGCCCTCCCACCCTCCTTTCCTCTGAAGGACCACTTCCACCTTGGGTGTATGTGAAGTCTGGAATCAGAAGTCACGTTTCCCTTTTGCAGCAAGTACAGAAAATAAATGCCATAGAAAACCTGGTATTCTTGGTTGTTTAATCAGAGGGATCGTATTTATCTTCTTGCATTTAGTAGAGGTGTTACAACTACTGAAATGAGACATGATGTCATGTACAAGAGGAGGCAAAACTGTAAAAAGACCTATCTCCACACAAGGTAGCTTAGACCCACACATTTCTTCAGGGTTGAAAGACAGATGTTTGTGAATGTCTGCGAGGGGCCGAGTTCTCACTCATTGGTTCTGTTTCTCAACAATGAGGGCTGCCCAGGATTGGTGTCCCACTGGGGGTTCAGTTTACAAAAAATAAAAACCCAAACCAAAGCAAACAAACAAAAAAAGGCACAACATTTTGGAGTTCCCTAGCAAGGATGGATTGGTTAAAAATCTCTAAAGAAGGTGCCATGTGGTCAGGCCCCTGGCCCCAGACACTTCCACACTTCCAGGCCCCACGAATCTGCCCGCCTCCCACTGCCTCACAGGCTCTGGCAAATTTCTGTTAGCTTTGCAGCTTTGATACTTTCAAAAGCCAGTCCTCTGTATGAGCAGCATAGTATTTAATTGGGTGTATAGTGTTTATCACTCCAGAATGGCAGGTAACGTTCATGGGAAGAATACAGCAATGAGTGATGGCTTTGGTGAGACCTCAGTACCTACTAAGGCAGGCAATGTTAACAACGGTGAGATTCTTAGGAAACACGCAACGCACGCTGGAGATGTGTGGAAAGCAGCATGTCTAAAAGCAAGTGTGTGTGCCTGTGTGCTCCTGCGTGTGTGTGAACGGAGACTGGGACTATGTGCTTCCAAGTGTGTGTGCCTGTGTGCTCCTGCGTGTGTGTGAACGAAGACTGGTGATATGTGCTTCCAACTGAAAGTAGGTGTGTTAGAGTCATTTAGGTTTTTTTATATCTAAAATATTATATTTTTGAAAATCATGGTAGAAGGTCAGTCTGTTCCTGAGAAAATTTTTAAAAGTCACATTTAGAGAGAAAAAAAGGAATTGCTCTACGATTGTAAAATTCTTGCAAGACTATCTTAAGTTTCTTAAATTACCTTCTTGCAGATTTTGGATTCAACTCGGCCAAGAACAAAGCATGGGCAGCACCCGGCCTAAGTGCTGAGCACCCGGCCTAAGTGCTGAGCACAATGGGCAAAGAATGAAGCTGAAAGGACATCCGATGGCTCTAGTATTTCTTTCTATCTATTAAACGGTGCTCAGTCTATGGGAGCAACCAAGATTTTAATTACAAATTGCACAAAATCACCTAACCTTGCGTGTGTGTTTAAGCAGCAGTATTGCAATATTTACAGGACAAAGCAACACACAAACCAGTAAGGCCAGGGCACGGTCAAAGTACAGGCTCCAGTTGGATTTGAACTACTGTAGGGCATGCAGAATTAGACAGTGATAGTTTTAAAAACAAAAGATGAAAGAGTAGAGGTGTGACCTTCAGCACACCTGCCTGAGTTTCAAAGCTCCCATCTGTGAGGGGCGGATGCTGCATCTACCATGCTGGTTTACCTTGCAGAGGAGATGATGGTTCGCTGGGCACCTGCCATGCGCTGGGCTTAGAGACACTGAGTCTCTAGCTGAAAAATCATTTACAGAAGCTTCAATGTGGGGCTTCCTGGCTGGTGAGGGGAGATAGACTGTGAACGGGTACACAAACCAGGCACTGACATGCGCCTGGCTGTGCCCAGCGCTCTGATGAACAAGGCAGGTTAGGGGTAGAGAGTGGTGGGAGGCCTGGCCTGCAGCCGGTGTCCCCCTCCCGCCAGATGAGCATCCCTTTTCTGCAGGCGTTGCCCCGGTACCGAGCGTGGAGGGGTCCCCACCTCGAGAGGGAGATAGACTCACACAGGAAACAAATTAGAGAGTAGCCGAGTTCGCCAAGTCATCGCTGTTCTCCCACTGTAAAAAGGGTAATTTGTGATAGGAATACTTTCATCAAACAAAACCACTGCTTCCTGTCATCATTGGATTGCTTTCCCTGTTGAGAGACTTAAAAGAATTCCACCCTCCGAATACTTCTTCCTTGAAGGAGTCAGTTTTGCGGGGTGCCTAGAGTTGCGCTCCTGTCCTGGCCGCACGCAGGGCCTCACACCCCACCCGTCTGTGTGTGCCGCCCCCCCCTCGCCATCTGGTAATTGCCACCTGCTTAATGTTGATGATTCATCCACCTGGTCCCCCTGGCTGGGGCCTTAATTAAACAATTCGGTGCTGCTGTGTGGGGCCCCTTCGTAGGCCGCGTCTATACTTCAGGGAAGAAATGCCGACAATAAACCTGTTTTAAATAGAGTTTCTGCTCTTGGCTTCACTGAGCAGGGACACGTTTTATTTTTTTTAGGACAGAAAACGCTGTTAAATTGGTTTATTTATATGGGGTTGTGGCCAGCATGGAATAGGCTCCTTAGACCGGTTCTCAGTGATTGAATGGAGTTAAGGAATCTTGAGTCTAAACTGGCCAGCAATGTTCTACAAAACGGTTTTAGTATTTTCATCTTATGTTTCAAATATCAGATACTCTTTTAAGAAAAAGCGGAAAGAACAAAACCACCAAGTACGATTGCAAATTAGAATGACCCTTTGTCCAACTTGGCCAAAACACACGTATGTGTGAAAAAACACAGCACATAACTCCACAAATACACATTCAAGGGAGATGACGGCAGGATCGATCTGACAGTCCATTTGGAGGAAGGAATAGTATATAAAACGCCAACGTTTATGCAAGAATATGGGACTTACGTTATATATACAGTTATATGTAACTGTGGAAATGTCATGGTTTTTAAATGAGTAAAAACCATGGAACTAACCAAGTTTCTCATAAGACAACTTTTTATTCTGGAAACCTACAAAGGTGAATAGGTTTGTTGAGTTGCTTTTCATCACACGGTGGGAACCAGAACTGAACAGAACTGAAGAATTCCTGGAAGGGTCCAGTGGCATCTGCTCCAGTCCCGGTGAGGACCCTCAACATGCTGCCACTCTTGTTCTCTTCCTCGTGCCTAGATGGGACTTCACACGGATGCCAAGGGTAGCAGGCAGGGCTAATCGAGGTGCTACAATAAAATACCGCTCTGAACAGGGCAGCTTGGTACACATTTGCAAACATCCCATAAATGTCATTACACTGTAGTAGGATTAGAAACATTGGATCCTGCTGTGACCTTTCCTTAGAGGAAGCAAGTTTAACCCTGAAGCAAAATGTATATTGAGAATTGCCTGTCTCTTACTTTAGAGATCTCTGCATTCCAGCAAAAATATAGAATTATTTTTCCTAATTTTTTGTGGCTTCAAAATTAATTACTTTAGGGTAATTTAAAATGGCATATTCTGCCTCCAAATTATGTTGGTTAAATGTATTTCCACCACTGCATCTTCAACCCACATTGAGCCACTGAAGCCTCAGCATGTGTGAATCCAATGATCTGGCAGTGGTGTGTGCTCAGTGAAGCTGGCTGAGGAAGACATCATAGCGCCGAATGAGTAAATTAACATTTAAAAATATACAGCAGCGTTAACCTGATGTTCTTGTTGACTCACAAGTTGAGCGGCAACTTTTAGAAATTAGAGGCTTACCAAGTTCCTGCAGACAGGCTTTGTTTATTTGCTTTTCCAAAGCTTGTGCTGACAGCTAAGATACAGAGGTTGTGCTGGTGTGAAAACAAACTCAAATTTCCAAAAGGAGAAAGAAAGAAAAAAAAAACACAAAAGCTCCCCAAACAATGGCGCTTCTTGTGACAGCAACTCTCTCTGAACAGCCTCCAGTGTTTAACATATTGAAACAGTTCATCTTCCTTCAATGAACTTTAATAACTCTGCCAGGTAGGAAGCTGCGCTCCATACTTCTTCATGTTGTCTCTTCCCCTCAACGTATCTACACTGATGTGCTCATCTGGCCAACTTTACGGCTGCGGTGTCGGAGCCCCTTGCGCTCGGTTATTACCATCATCAATAACCTGTCCTGCCCTCTCGCCTCCATTTCTCACGCCTTCCTGGTACCCTTCAACATCTAATAAGAGCCTTTTACCATGACCACTGATCAATACACATGGGCACCTGTTCCCTTTCCTAAGCACACCCTTCTAAAGTAACGTGACAAGGGGGCAAATATGATTTTGATGGGATCATGTCAAGGGACAAGAAAACCTATCTGGAAAATTTTCCTTTGGGGCCAATTTATACAGATAACCAATTTTCACACTTAGGGTTAATCACTTCTGTCTTTGTTCTCTAGCCGTGATCCATAGAAATAAAAACAATCCTTCGTGGGTATTATGCTAACCCAATATTACTTTTAACAATTCTATTTTTTATGCATATGTCTAAAAATTAATGAATTATAATAGAAATATAATAGAGACTATAATATCATAGAAAATGTCAATATGAAATATTTCCTAAAAGGTTCATAAATATACATCTACCCCCCATTACTGATTTTTGTTCAAATTTGATTTTAAATATTAACATTTTTATCTTAGGATAATAATTATTTTTTATCTTGGAATTATTTCGAGGTATGTATTTCAAATTTTATTAACAGCCAAAGTGTCATCCCTGTCTTTATGTGCACCAACACATACACAAAAACAGCATGACTTCTTCTCGGCAACTTTATATCATCCAAAATGGTTATCATATGTACAGACATGATTATGTGTGTTAGAAGCACTTCAGTCCAAATCTGAACAGTTGACAACTTTAACCCTTAGCATGACATTACTAAGGAAATACCAAAGTGTCAAATACGTTGTGGTTTCTTCACAAAATTAGTGCATGAGACCAAGGACAAAGTGAAATAATATTTTGACAGATGCAGGAGTGTAGCTTAATATCATATTGGTTGCAGCAGCTCTAAGTTAGGGACTGTATTCCAAAATTCCATAACAATGACTAGAAATATAGTTGAACTGCTATCGTGCCAATCCCGTATGTTTGGGGGCTGTGTGTATACATTTAATACAGGAATGTATAAGTTCCATGCTATCATTGGCTTTGTGGAATTTAAACTAATATTTGTGAAAGTAATAATATCAAATATCAAATAATTAAAATGCAAAATGCGTTTTTATAATAGAAAAATGGCAACATTGTTGGCTGTAAGTTTTCCAAGTATGTACTACGTATTTGTGGCTGTTTTTTTCTCCTACAGATTATAGTCATCTTTGCAGGAGGCATTAAAAAATGACATTTCTAAAGTAAAGGCCTGTTCTGTTGGTTTGCTTTTTATTTGAATTTTTAAGAGCATGGACAATTTCTAGCTTTATCATGCTCTGGGCATTTTAAAGATCAAATTTTATTTTAAATTTTGTTACACAACTTTTTTTTTTTTTTAATGCTAAGAGTAGCCTAGCTTTAACCCTGGTCTCTTCTCCACAAACTGAGAAAAAAAAAAACATGAGACAGAGGCTCTGGAAGCTTCATGACCCTGAGACCCTAATGCCTATGAAGACAATAGGCATCATTGACTTGATATGTTCCTATACTTAAAATCATTGGGCTTAGCTTATTTTGCCACAAATGATAAAGAAAAAAATCAATTGCTAGAAATACAAGAAGCACAAGATTATATTGAGACTCCAGGGTTATAAATATTGCAGGGTTAACCACTCACGAGAAAATAATCTGAAAGGCAGTTTTAAAACTATCCCTACTCTGTTTAAGCTATTCTAATTAATCATAGCATTATTATCAACACGTGGAAATGAAATCCTTCCCCTAAGTTTAACTGTCCTCATGTCTCGTTCTTCATAGCTGGGAAATAAAGACCTTCCCCACTAGGTGAGCCGATAAGAAAACGATTACAGCAGGTCCCATTGCGTAGACGGCATATCCAAGCAAAGAGTTTAAGTGATAATAAAAATGTACCACTGCAGAAATCACTGGATTGTGAGCTTCGATTTAATGTCCGTATGCAAGCGCAAAATTTGATTCCTGTTGCAGAGCATCTTACATTAAACATGAAATTTATGTTCCTAATCTATGAAAGCACTCTATTTTAAAACATATCAATTAAAATGAAAGTGTTAAGAGAAATCAAATATTTATTTTAGCATAAAATATATAGTATAGATTAAAACACAAGTTACCTCTTTCTGGGAGGTTATGTGTTTACGCATAATGTTTAATTTTATGTAATTATTTCTTGGTTATTGATTTATTCAAATATATTTGAGGTACAAGTGTATGTTTTTACAGTGTGCTCTTTGTGCACTCACAAAAGTTGATAGGAAATAGTAACTCCATCAGCAACTTTAAAGTAATGGTAATACGAAGACTCCTCTCCGCTTGCTATTTGATTGGAATTCAGCAATGCCAGCCTTTTCTGATAGGTAATTGTCCTTTCCCATAGAATTGTCATACGATCCCATATTACACCACTCCGAAGGTCAGATAGGGGGTCAGACCTTCTCCAACTGTTTTTGATGGGGTGGAAAACACAACAGAATTAAGAGATTTCATTTACGGGGAAGAACAGCTTATTTCAGAGACTTACCTGCCTGTCTGAGGACAAAATACATTCTTTTAAAACATTTTTGAATAAACTGTACATATATCCAAGGCAAAGCAACTTCTGACAAAACCTAGTTCATCTTGCACAGATTACTTAAAAAATCAAGTCCTGATAACATCACTAGAAGAGATCTGATGCCTTAACTGTACACTTTTTTTAATCGAAGCAAATGACAAATAGGAACAAAATTAAGCTGTGTAAATTAAAAGAGCTGAATTATAAAATCTTTATCCTTCAAGCATTAAGAAATATAAAGCAAGAAGACATTGATAGCCTATGGGCAAAATATCTATTTATATGAAGCAAAATCGAAATGACTGTTAGACTGTGTCATTGTTGTCTTTACCTAGGAGTCTAACGTGAAAGATAAAAGTGCACTTTTAGCATTCTTTACTAACCCCATATGGCAACAATAAAATTGACATGAAAAATGACTTTGATCTTCTATAGCATTTTGTGTGCAGGCAGTATTAAAAAAATTCTTGCAAATATTCATGAAGTAGCCTTAAAAGTAAACACCTAGTGGCATACCACCTTTTAGAAGAGATTTTTTTCCCTCTCTGAAAACTTTTTATGCATATGTATATATAATAAAGTGACTATGGAATGGGCTCTTGAAGGTGCATGGAAAATGTCTTACCCAAAGCCCTAAACAGTTCTGCAGTACTTGGATCATAAATATGTTTTGATAAGTGATAAACTCATTTGGCATACTAGATTGGACACTCCCAGGAAGAAGAGAACAGGTAAAAAATGTTTGATCTTGCAGGGGAGCTGTTGTCTGTCTGCTTTCTAGGATGTAGACAGAAAACACTGTTTGTCCCTATCAGGCTTCAAGAAATCGAAAAGGATTTCAATGGCGGTTTTATTTCCGTCAATCATTAAAACTGTAATAACTCAATATTCAAGACAACAAGCTATAAAACTATTCCCATTCTACCTTGCCAGCATTTTATGATAATTCTTTCTTTTGGACTTTAGAAATCATTTCCCATTCTTTAGCAACTCTCTGAAATAATTCTTACTGACTGCAGTGACACCTACTGCTGGCAGGATCGCTTTACTTGGGGTCTCAGACACAGAACAGCAGCCTTGCAATCGGGGGGCATGAAGATGAACAGAGAATGATTATTCGGAAATGCAATTCCTAACAAAAACCAGTGCTGGCTCCCAGGCCGGCCTGAAGCAGGAAGGAAGCACAGCATCTCTCGGTTCTTTTGTCCCAGGACTCAGGTTCCCATCTCCACCCAGGCAATGGTGGAGCAGCTTGGAAGCCAGGGATCTCTGCCTTCCTTAGCCTTCGGCCTCCCAGCCCAGCTCCCTGAAACACCGCATCTACAGAGAGCCCTGCTATGCCTCGGTATAAACCACTACCTGATTAACAAAATAATTATTCCAACCACCGCCACATTCTGCATAGACTTAAGCCTTTCTGTTTTAACAAAACAATGTTAATTTTCTCTTAGAACATCTGTGACCCATTCACATAACTGCTAAATTAAGACAATATTATTTTAAATCACTATCTTTGTTACCTTCCCAACCTTAAGAAAAGCCAGCAAATAAATTTAAGACCATGTTTCCTGAGATACTCATTTGAATTCTGCCCTTGCCAATATGCACGAATATGTCTACAGCCAGTTTTCCTCCTTTTGTGCTTTAAAATAACATCAAAAGCAGCAACAGCACAATAACAATTGTAAAGACAGCTAAAATTTTTAAGTGATCATGCAATAAGCTTTCACATTGTAAAACTAAAGCTATCTCTGCAGTTGTTTTCCTAAAATATTACTGTATTGACATCGCACCGCCCTCTGCTCTCTTCCCACCAGCTTGCTTTCCGTTGTTTTCAGTTCCATTAACCATTGAAAAATAATCCAGTATTAGGGAGAAGAGCTCTTTTTCTGTATCGTGTGTCTTAAGGAAATCACTTTCTTAAAAAAGAGAGGAGATTTCATTTGTAATATTTCCAGAATAAGCAATGAACTCTCTTTTTCATTTTGAAGACGAAAGCAGAACGTGGGAATATTCAGATCCAAGCCAGTTTTCTGCTGGATGTTTAAGAAGCTTACACATATACAAATGTATTTTATGCATATAGCAGATACGAGGCATGTATAATTCTAGGATATATAAAACAGAAGCACTAAACATAATTTAAACAAGTAATAAGAACTTCATTTCCCCACACAGCACATACAACCGCAGCCGTGGCAAAGCTCATCACTGCTGTCTCAGAATAATAGGACTTGGTTTTGAATTGCTGTCCTTAAAATCTGACGATAGAAAACAAGTGCAACGCATCCATTAACACAACACAAAAGTTAAGAAGAAGTTGCTCTCAGAGAAGCAATCATTGTCTGTGACTCCATAGTGCCACCACATGGAGTGATATTTGAATATAATTCAACTGTTTCAGACTCAGTAAACTGTCTGTAAATAATACTTTACATACTTCATAAGACAGCAAAGAGGGATATCTAATCTTCTCTCTAGCATGTGAAGTTCAAAATGTTTCCTTGTGAACACAGAGGTGTCTCATTTCTAAGAGCATGAATGCACTGTAGTAAAAACCAAACAGCGAAACTGCTTTATTCCACCAATAAAAAAAGAGCCATTTGGTAAAAGGATGCATTACACATTTTCTATTTAAATTAGTTTATAAGAAGCAGATGTTAAGCTTTCCTTGGTAAGAAAAGAAAAGGAGTTATAAATGAATTAAACTATTTTTTCAGTGGATCTCTGACCCTTCACTCTCAATGCATTTCTGTTTTGAGTAATAATGTAAATGCATATTTTTATTACTAAGGCAAGTGGTTTTAGCAATTATTCTTTAAAATATTAGATGTCAGGTTAGGAAAGTCCACCGAATTAAATGCCAGTCTGATACCATAAACCAGCGCAGGTCCCAAATCACATTAACTAGAGAATCTTCAGATGAAAACTCACTCCGTAAGAGCGTCTGTGGAAAACGCAGCCTAGGCTTCAATTCTACGCTCTAATAAAGCGTCTGTGATTTCAGATTTCATGATCTCTGTCAATTGGTTGTAAAGTACAAATTGCAATTCAAGCAAGTTTGAGAGCATTTTCTTTTTTTGTAGGGGAGGTTGGTATAAACTGGGATGACGTTGAGCATCCAAGCCTCAGCCAGAAAGTGATCATGTTTCTAGAACACGACCCCCGTACACAGCCCCCCACATGGTTCACCACGGTAAAGGTGCTTTCCATTGTAATTGTCTTTAAAGGAGCTTTAATTAAATGCTCAACGTGGATGGCCTCACTAGACGCTTTCATGCTCAGACATTTTTAAAGAGCAGAGCTCTCGCCGGCTGGAAGCACAGCCTGTGCGTCGGACGCTGTTGTCTCTGCGACGGTTCCACTGAACTCACTCCTAACGATCTACCCTCAGTTACCTAACTTCAACACTATTTTTTCCTTAGACTGCATTAATGAATCCAATAAATAAAGCATTGTATCACCCATCCAGAATGGACATTAATTTTAGAACAAAACATTAATCAACTTAAATTTATGTACTAATGCAGACACAATCAATTTCAACTTCTTATGACAATTAGCAAAGCTTTCGCTACATCTCTAAAACACACTGACCCATCAATTATGGTTTGCATCAAAGTAATGCTAATGACACCTCCCTAGTCCTTAGGCTGCCAACAACCCACCTGATTGGTCAACTTGAATGCAGCAAATCAATTAATATAAATTATACATGCACGAAAAGATGGGTTAATATCATAAGTTAATTTAATTAATTGTGTTTGATTAAATGAGGTACTTTCATTAGCCCACTTAGCCATGAACCATATATACATCATCATAATCCTTTTACAAGCTCAGCCGCCCAGACATAGCCCTGACATCAAGAGCATATTCAAATTACCAGCCTCAGCCATGCAAACCTCCCTGCATAATTAACAACTAAACGAGCTGCAGTCACTTAAGCTGAAAAGAAAACTGTTCACATCAACCTCTCTGATACTGTTTAAATTGAAGGTGTCATGGGTAAAACAAAGGTGAACAGACAATGGTAATTAAAAATTAAAAAGGACAAGGGGGATTTGCAACTAATGGAAGCAAAGTGGAAAGAGGGCTGAGGCCTTGGTTCTTTCAAACGCAGTGTGTGAGTATGGGGTCATTCAGATCCCATCCTTTCTGGGCTGTGCTCAGTGCAGAATGTCTGCCGGAATCAGAGACATGGAGCTTGACTGGATGGTGGACGAGGGCTGACCTAAGCAGCTCCATCAGGAGCAAATGAAATTGTAACAGGATGGCCCCCAAAGCCATGGTTTGTCGTTACCTCATCGTGAACGCCGGCCACACAGGTGCGGAGTCCTGTCCATTTCGCCGGGGTCTGATCCCTGGCCATGTTTTCAGCTGTGGTTCCGACCTCAGGTATCAAACCCTGTCCAGCACGGGAGCCTCGCCCAGCTCCCGAGAATGGCATTCATTAAATGGATTTTCTTCCAGACGACATGGCAGAGGCTTGACATAAAATATAGGGATGTCTGATGGAAGTTATTCATTCCTTCCTGGTTCGATGCACAACCTTCCAGGGATGGTTTGAATTCACACTGGTTCCCAAAGTAGAACAAGTAGCAGGGCTGCATTTCAGAGATAGAACCGAGTCTGCAACGCAGCACCCGGAGGAGTTTCAGAACACGGAATGATGAGGCCAGGCCTGCCTGGTCTGTGAACACAAAAGTAAAGTAAATGGCAGAATTGAGGCAATTACACAGAGGACTCAACACACGACTAGTAACAGTATCTTTGAAGCTGAAGCAGAAACATTTATTTTTAAGTTTGCCACAAATCCTCTCAATTTGTCATTGGATTTTGGGTATTTAGACACAGATTCAATAGCAACATAAGTAGTACCTTGACTGGGGGTGGGGTAACTGTGTTATCTTTAGAAAGGAGTAACACTTATGCAGCCATGGACATAAGTAACAGCACATCATAGACACAGATAAACATTTCAAATAACATGACAGTCATCCACATGTGGTCAATTATCACCTCATGCCTAAGAAACACAACCACACTTGATGGAGAGGTGATAGAAGGGGCTGAACATGTAATTTGATTTGGCAGCAAGAAAAGATTTGTTCCTTTTCATGCCAGCTGCGAAAAGACTTTCCTATTTCTAGACGGATAAATTGATGCAAATATAAATTTATACACATGTGCCCACATTCTATATAATACGCAGGAAATGTAAATGTTCAAAGTGTGGAGGGCACAAGCCTCAGCCATTGGCCCTTGGTAGAACTGGCCAGTGCAGCCCTGGCTCTCCTGGCGGGAACCATGCATTCTCTGCAGTTGGGGTGGAGATGTCCACCCCGGTCTTGTGGTTAGGAGGCAGCTCAGGAATCCACTCCTGGCTTCCAGTCTGGCCTGCTGTGTGGCCTGACCTGGTGTTCAGCAGCAACGGAGTTCAGATGGAAGGAGTCGTGTTCATCTCACAGGGCCGCTGAGGTGTACATCAGCCACTGTGCTTAAAGCACTCACAGAACAGCCTGGATGCAGACAGCCCTCAAATACTTGTCAGCTTATGTTGTTATCATCCTCTTTGCATTTATTTCTCTTTCCCAATGTAGAATACAGCAACCTTTGGTCCCCAGGGAACATCAGTATGTCAGGTGTATTCGTGATTCTATGTTACAAATAAGAATTTTACAAAGCCCTCTTAAGCTTGAAACAACAGGAATTTTCCCTTGGCAACGGGTCTCAGGCTGGAGAACCGCCCTGCTGCATTAGTGCCAGGATGGAGTCTGCTCTGTGTCTGTCTTGTTCTGGAGCCAGTGGTTCCCCAGAGCATGTTTTCCTCATGGCAGATGGCCAAAGTGCAAGAGCCTCTAACCACAAAAGCACAGCCAGTGCCTCTGCTCAGATCACACGGGCTGCCATCTCAGTGGCTGAAGCGGGTCAGGTGGACAGGCAGAAGCCAGTAGGGTGGGCAGGTGTCACCTTGGAGGGAGGAGCACAAGGTGCATGTGGGCTGCACACCGTCTGGTGACCACACCAAGAAAATCATTTCCAGTTGGAGAAGTCGATGCATCCATCAGTTACTTGGTCCCAGAACCATGCCCGGTGACCCTGGAATTCTGACATCTGTTTCTACACATCTTCCTTCCCCATAATGACAGGCTCATAACAAAATCTTAAACACAGAATTAAATAAATGATTTTCAATGAAACAATAAATTGATGATGAATGAATGAATTAACAAACACTTATTATGTTCACTTTTAGCTATTCTGTTCTACTGGCTCTATAATGTCACAGGAGTTTGAGAATTACACTGACATCTCATTCATAACATGTCCCTCCCACCAAGAATATTGTACAGCTCCATAAATCCTAGGAGAATAGTTTGTTTGTCAATAAGATGATTTGCATACGGAGGATTGTTATTTTTTTAAACAAACTGTTATTGAGCTAGACCTTAAGCATTTAGGAAAACTGATTTGAAAGTTCATGTTCAATCTATTCCAATGATAAAAATCATGGAAAATTCAAATTAAAATTATGCAGACTAGAGTTCATTTTATAGAGAAGCAATCTAAGTGTTTACTGCTTTTTAGGACTTCTTTCCCAATGCTTTACCTCATCAATTGCTTTTTAGTGAGATTGACCTACTCTGCTCTAGCAGACACGGTCATTTCTCAGAATCCCCTAACTGAGGAATTCTCAAACAGCCCAGAAAGCACCTACTTTGCCGTTTGCTCAGCATGAGAAGGAATCTGAACTGAGAGGGTAATACTGACGACTATTAATTTAGCTTTTGCAGATCACTGATGATGGAAGGAAACTAATAAAAATGTGCATGAAGTCTGGAAAGTTTTTCACTGATGTTGACAAAGGCACACCAACACGCCTGCATGTGAGTGCCTGAAACATTCTCCAAGCAACGAAAGCACAGGTTTCTCACCCAGCAGGGGGAATGGAGACAGCTGTAGCAAAACAAAGAGTGTATGAATTCTAAATAAAATTGCTGAATTCAGTCTTAAAATTAAGATTCTTGGATGCAGAGTACATGAGGTGTTCTGGAGAGGAAAACCTTCATCTGGTCTCATGTCATAACACACAGCTTAAATAAAAGGTAATGCAAATGAACGTGCAGTTGTGTGCATGAAGAAGCAATAACCCGGGTGGTCCCACATAGCAGAGGCAGCACACAGATGAGCAGAATTGTCTACTGTACAGCTCGGGGGCATTGTGATGGAGCTCTCGTGTATTAACAGGGAAAGCATTCAAATGTCCTTCAGAGCTCTGGGTTGGTTAATTGGCATATGAACCTCTGGGCCTTACAGGGCACCTTGTGGGTAAAAATCTGGGACAGTCATCAACTCACCTGGGCAGTTGGGTTTAGCCACTTCCGGAAAGATGAATTGAACGCTCTACTTTATAACATCCTAAGGCATCATTTGGACACGGCGAGAGAGTCAGGGAACTCGCTGGGGTCAGGAAAGAGGAGCAAAAGGGGCCTGAGACACTATTGGCAGTGCTTAAGAAACTGCTTCTTCAGTCTGACTCTAGGGATATTTGAATAAGCTGCTTAAAAGAGCAGTTTATTTGATACTTCCTTCATCCTCTAAGAAACACCGTAAACCAACAGCTAACCCACTACTAAAAGCAAAATAACACAGTAATGCTTCCCAAACTTTGATTTGCGACTCCTGTAGTTGTTAAAAGATTCTTTTATTTTATTTTATTTTATTTATTTTTTTGAGATGGAGCCTTGCTTCATCGTCCAGCCTGGTGTGCAGTGGTGCGATCTCGGCTCACTGCAACCTCCGCCTCCCAGGTTTGAGATTCTCCAGCCTCAGCCTCCCAAGTAGCTGCGATTACAGGTGCCCACCACCACACCTGGCTAATTTTTGTATTTTTAGTAGAGATGGGATTTCACCTGCTGGCCAGGCTGATCTTGAACTCCTGACCTCAGGTGATCTGCCCATGTGAGCCATGACACCCGGCCAAAAAATATTTTATGAATTACAATTTTCCATTGTAATTTTCCAACACAATGGAAATAGGATGTATGGGCTAGGATAGCAAGTATGGGTAAAGAAGAGTGGGAAAGGCCGGGCATGGTGGCTCATGCTTGTAATTCTAGCACTTTGGGAGGCCGAGGTGGGTGGATCACTTGAGGTCGAGAGTTGGAGACCAGCCTGGCCAACATGGTGAAATCCCATCTTTACTAAAAATACAAAAATTAGCTGTGCGTCGTGGTGGGCGCCTGTAATCCCAGTTACTTGGGAGGCTGAGGCATGAGAAGCGCTTGAACCTGGGAGGCAGAGGTTATAGTGAGCTGAAATTGTGCCACTGCACTCCAGCCTGGGCGACAGAGCAAGACTCAGTCTCAGAAAAAAAAAGGAGTGGGAAATAAATTGTTCTCTAGACCTCACTGGGGACTTATGAAGCCCTTTTTCATGATAGAGATTCTGAGAGACCTTATGGTAGAGAGATCTTCTTAAGTTATTTAACCAGCATTACATGGGCAAAAAAGTCTTCCCCCCGCCTCCCGCCCCAGAAAACAGATGTCAACTTGCAAACCCATGTTTTTGGGACACAGTTTGGGAAGCACCAGGGTAGAAGTGCATTATTGAGAAGCATATTTAAATCTCCTCTTTCTCCAGGGGCCTCACTGACCTGGAAGATCCCTGGGATTACCTGAAGGCAAGTGCAGGGCCCAGCGGAGTGGCTGGTACAGGGAGTGTCCCTTTAATCCTCCTCTTAGGGCAGAGTGCTGGGAACTTGGATATTACAGGCCGGTGATCTTGAGGGGTGAGTGCAAAATGTTCTTCTTCAGGCCATGAAGATAACACTTAGGAAATTACTGCCATTCCTCTGAAAGCATATTTCTTTACTCAGACCCTCACTGTAAGTCATAGCTATGGGCGCAGATATTTAAAAAATATTTTATCTATACTTTTTTTTCTAAATTGGCAACTCTGAAGACATTATACTTAGGAAGAAATGTGGATGACTATGTCTTAAGAAAAAAAATTATGATACTTTAAGAAAATTAAACCTTTGACTTTTAAAGCCTCCTTTTAAAAATACTTGGAAAAGACTTAAACTAATTTTTATTATAAGGTAAAATGCATATGGTATTTATTTTTCTTGCTTTATTGCACTGGCTAGACCCATTAGCAAAATGTTGAACAAAATTTTTAGGAGCAGACACCCTAGCCTTCTTGGTCTTAGTACACTTTTGACGTAAAAGACTTTTATATAAAACATTCTTGTTAGTCTTGAAGTCTTCTTTGTGGAAGGAAATGCCTATGAAATGTAAATAACACATCAAGTAGTTAAAAAGACACACATTACAACACTGATGAACCTAAAAAATCACACTATGTGAAAGAAGCCAGAAAAAAATTCCACATATTATGATTTCATTCATATGAAATGTCTAGAAATAGTAATTCTACAGACTCTGGAGCAGCATGGGCCTGGGGCTGGGGGCGGGAGTGGGGATCGACTGGTGATCAAGCATGCAGAATCTTTTGGGAGGTGACCGAAATGCTCTAAAATCGTATTGTGATGGTTACACAGCTATGCTAATTTACTAAAAATCATCAAGATGCACACATAATGTTGACTATTATTATATGTAAATTATAGATCAACAAAGCTGTTCAGAGTAAGCAATTTTTAAAAGAAGAAAAAAACATTTTTTTCTAAAAATTTGGAAAATTGACTCAAAACTAAACATAAAATGATGAATAATTCTTTGGCCCTCCAACTTCTTCAGGGAGAGATGGTGTAACACAAGCCCTGGAGAAGTTTAAACTTTGGTTATTTCAAAATTGTCAGTTCCTCAAATTGGAATTTAGGAGACTCTTTTGACTTCATGTGTGATCCTGGGCAAGAGACATGGTTCATTCTTTGTCTTTTTACCACACTTAATTCTTCGTCTCATATTTATGTGCATCCTCAGAAGGTTTCAATTTTCTTCTCCACTATACTGACTCAACTTTCTGATATGAATTGGCAGGAAGTTTTCATTTTTGTGTTATACTTCCCATCACTAGGCAGAATAGTTATCCTGCTTCAGGCTCTAATTTCTTGAGAGTTCTGTTGGACTTGTGGATTTCTTTAGAAGTTCCTTGCTTAATTTTCAAATGGTTGGAGATTTTAAAAACATTTCATTTTTATTGATTTCTAATACAATTCTGTTATGAGCAAACTCTTCATAACTTCAGTCCTTTTAAATTTATCAAGACTTGTTTTTTGGCACAGTATATGGTCTACATTATGACTGTTCAACGTACACTTGAAAATAATATGTATTTGTCATTGCTGCATATAGATCCTATAAATATCTGTCAAGTTGACAATGATGTCTTCTATTGACTTTTTTGATTTGTTTTATTTCTTTTAACAACTACAAAGTGAATGATGTTATAATGTCCAACTATGAAAGAATTTGTCAGTTTCTCTCTTTAGTTCTATTTTGCTTCAAATATTTTGAACCTCTAATATTATATTATTATTATTTTATTTTATTTTTTTTTTTTTGAGACGGAGTCTCACTGTGTTGCCCGGGCTGGAGTGCAGTGGCACGACCTCGGCTCACTGCAAGCTCCACCTCCCGGGTTCACGTCATTCTCCTGCCTCAGCCTCTCGAGTACCTGGGACTTACAGGCACCTGCAACCACGCCCGGCTAATTTTTTTTCTATTTTTAGTAGAGATGGGGTTTCACCGTATTAACCAGGATGGTCTCGATCTCCTGACCTTGTGATCCGCCCGCCTCGGCCTCCCAAGGTGCTGGGATTGACAGGCATGAGCCAACATGTCCGGCTTAATATTATATTATTATATCTTCTTGATGTATTTACCTTTTCTATTCATATAATGAACTTCTTTATCCTGAGCTTCTCTTTTCCTGGATATTAATATAGCTATACGAGGTTGATTATATTTAGTGTTTATGTGATAATGTTTTCCATATTTTTAGCCTTCACATTTTTTGTGTCTTTATATTTAAAATATGCCTCTATTAAATACTACATAGTAGACTTTGCTTTTTCAGTGATTCTGAAAATCTCTTTCTTTCAGTGGTAGTGTCCAGTGTCAAGTCCATTAACATTTAATGTAACTATTGATATATAAATGTAACAACTTAAGTTTATAAAGACTTGATATTTGTTCTCTTTTTCTCCTCTGCCCCTTGTTGTCTTTCTCCTTTTCTCCTGCTATCTTTTTGGTTAATCAAGTAACTTCAAATGCTGCGTTTAGTCTCTTTTATTAACTATGCTTTGAACTATGCTTTTTTTTTTTTTTTTTTTGCTTTCTTCTCTCTCAGAAGAACCTTAATTTATCATGGTCGACACTAAGTTAACACTATGCCACTGTATGTTTAATGTAAGAATCTTACAACAACTGCAAATTATTGTACGAATATTGTCCTATATTTAACTTTTACATTTGTTATAAAGCTCTAACTACATTGTTTTTGCTTTTGTTCATTTTAAACATTTTACATTTAAACAATTTTTTAAAGCAACAAATACTTTAAAGTATTTATTTTTTTTTATTTATTTATTTTTGAGACGGAGTCTTGCTCTGTCGCCCAGGCTGGAGTGCAGTGGCGCTCCGCCTCCCGGTTTCACGCCATTCTCCTGCCTCAGCCTCCTGAGTAGCTGGGACTACAGGCACCTGCCACCATGCCCAGCTAATTTTTTTGTATTTGTGAATTCTTCCTTTCAATTTTCTGACATTTCCCAAATACAACTAACTTCTAGGCCCTGATGGGATGCTGCCTTCTGCCTGATCTCTCTCCCTCATGACCTGAAAAAGCTGGGAAGTGCCTTCATGGGAAAAGAGAGGAAAATTTGAGTCACTTTCCTGTGGTTCTCCTTTGTCATCGCAAAAATTATTTTCAGTTATTGCTGGTTTTGGAAACTCTTCAGTGCCATCAAAAATTTATTTTTTAATATTTGTCCAGAGTTTATACTTGTAATTGTCAGGGGAGTTAATCTGATAGAATCTACTTTGTCACTACTGGGAGCTGAAGTCTCCAGCATTAGCTTTAGTATTTCGAGAATCACATGCAGTTTTGCAGCGTGCTTTGGGAAGGAAGGATAAATGTCTACACTCCAGAGTCTGCAGGCTTTCATCACACTATGTCTACACCTCCGCGTCTAGCACATTACTTCATTGGCGGAGCTTCTTGGCTGCATCGAGCTTTTGTGCTGACCCCCCTTTCTATTGTCTAAGTACACATTAGAGCTCTTATGGAAAAATGCACAAAATGCTGATGGAAGGATGCTTAGGGTATGTGGCCTTTGGCATTATTTTATATATATTTTAGCTAATATTTTCTATAAAAATTGAGGTGAAAAAACTTCAGTGTTTAGATGTGTCTGAGTGTGTTGTTTGTGCATGTATGTGTCTTGCCAAGTTTTCCTTTGCTGTATCATTCATTAAAAAATTTTCCCAAGATTTATAATTAGATACTGAATAAAATTCAAGTAATTTTTTTCATCCTAATACCCCCACAGCTCTATGAGGTTATTATGAATATTCCCATTGAAGGGATTAATACAATAAGGCCTAGAAAGATTGTGTAATTCACTAAGTTTACAAGGTCAGTACTAAAATGATAATTAACATGCTTGCAGTCTCACTCCAGAGCCTGATGTCTGAGTCATCAGTCAACATTTTAATTCCTTCTGCTTAAATCTATTCCTACATTCAGCTGTTCAAAGCCCAGCTATCCATTAAAACCACTTCAAATGCTGCTTCATTTCCTCTTCTAATCACTCAGTCAGTAGCAACCTTTGTCTTCTGAAAATTTATAGCAGTTTTTGCACCTGTTGTCAGTTGTATTATTCAAGTTTATATTTGATCATAGAAATTGTTAGTGTGGAATAAAACTTTAAAATAAACCGTGGAATAATGTAAAGAAAAGACCTTCTAAAAGTTTTTGGCAGTGAAAACTTCCCACCCTGCTCCGAGAAATTGCTGGAGCAAGGGGTGACATTTACCCAGTGCACTTCTGTGTAAATGAATCCATTCTGCTGATATGGCCAGCAGCTACTCTATATGGAAACTTACATTAACAAAACAACACACAAAAGCAAACTTCTCTGGCGATGATCTAGACCCACCTGGGGAATTATCTGCGGGACCCTCCCCCACCTTCCTCCTTTCCCCAGGGTGGCCACTGAGACCTTATTGGGAATCATTGAGGTTCCGGGGACACAGCTGGAATTTAAGTTTTTCTGATGTGAAGACCTAAGACATACTCCAGCCAGTGTCTTGACTTAATCAGTTAGATTCTGACAACAGACACCAACTAAGATGCACATGGACCTGAGATTGTCACCAGAATGCCAATACATTACTTTATACAGAGAACCGTGTCCACCTTGAGGACTGGAAATCTGCAGAGTGCAATGGGTGACACCCTCTCTCCTTAGGAATCACACACTCTTCACGCCTACGCCTCTACCTTTCCTTACACTTATGGCTAACTGCACCACCAGGTAGGGTGACATAATTTCTTTCTGTGGGTTATTAATATATCCAATAAAGCTAGATCTAAGGGCAATCAAACCAATGCATTCTCTTTTAGGTGTATTCAATTTTTCATTTAATTATTGAAATAAAACTATTACCCCATTTTACAGATCATAAGTTTTATTTTCCTTGCCAAATTTCATATTCCTTGAAGACAAAAAGCATTTTAAAATGTATTCATTACACATTATTCAACTTGTATGAAGAGATACAATAAATAATAAGATGATGAAAAATATTCTACTCATAATTGTTTAAAATACATGATTTTGTGGAGAGACATGTGTTCTGAACAAATACAGAGAAAAAAACTTCATACTATAGGAACAGAAAGAAATCAGGAATAAGTGAGTGATTTTGCTTGAGTGAAATGAGAACAGCCTCACAGAGGTAGTTTCTGAATTGGGACGAGCAAGATGAATAGAATATTCTGGACAAAGAAGGGTGAAGTGTCTCTTCCAAATGCAAGGAGGAAAGACAATCATGTCTTGTGCAAAGGAGCTGCTTTTTATGCCCATAGCCCTCAACATTTTTCTTCATCAAGACACGTGAAACTGACTTCCGATGCACAGACTCCCAAGAGTGAGAAATGACTCCCAAACCCAGATTCCTGTGCTGTGGTTTGCACCTGTATCTTCATTGCAAGTTAGCTTTCTAGAATGGTGATATGTTTCCTGAATAAATGGAATTATCTCTAATTTTAACATGAAACATGAATTCCCTGTCATATTGAGTACTTGACAGTCTCATGTTCTTTGTCAAGGACCTTAAAGATTGATTCTTACCAGACTGCAGGCCCAGCAGAGATCCTGGGCTTTGGGCAGTGACAAGCTACTGAATGTTTCTTAGCAGAAGCAGGGTGGAGATCAAATCTGGTTTTGGAAGATCCGTGCAGTAGAGGTGCAGCTTTCTAGTGGTGTGGTTTGACAAAAATCAAGGGTGGAGAGAAGGACACCATATAAATAGTATTAATTATATTTTAAAATTTATTTTAGAAAAACTGTTCAAATATACTTAGCAAGTGTGTACTATATACTAAGGATATGTTTTCAGGCAATACCCAGATGAATGTTATCCAGTCTTTCAAACTGATAGCAATCTCCTGAAAGATTGAAAAATAAAATAATTCACTGCAATGTGGCTGTTGAAAAAGCAGTGGAAGGATTTTAAAGAGGAGAGATGTGATCAAATTTACATTTTATAAAAATCTGCCTGGAGAATACGTTGAAATGGGTGAAACAGGAGCATATGGAGGCTGATTGAAATCATCACCCTGGTAAAATCTGAGTGAGAAATGATGAGGACCCGAGATTTAGGAGGAATGAAGCAGGAACAGGCTGGGGAATGTGCATGAGACGAACTGGACAGGAATTGGTGACTGACTTGTTGTAGAAAGAAGGGGAGAAATTGAGAATGCCTTTCAGGTCTGATTTACCCAAGAGGTAATGATCCACTGAAAAGGGGCAGTGACAATTGAGGAATGCCTGATGCGGGAGGAAAGCCCCGATGCCTCAGAACCTAAAACAGCAGGACTTACATCCTCCAGGACTCAACCTGGTGAGGTTTACTCAAGCTTTGTGAACCTCGATGTATTCATGCATCAGATATGAAAAAATAATAGGGGATTGGTCAGGAGCGGACTTGCTAAGGGTTGGCAAGCAACTAAGACTGAAGTCCCCATGAGTCAACCCACCAAGGCTCTGTCTCCTGACCATCCTCTCTGACCATACCTTGCATGGGCTTGAGGTTACCACCTGGAAACCAAATTGAGGTAGTGGATATCCCCAGTGTACAACAAGGAAAAACCAGGGAGCCAGGTCTCTATTTTAGAATATGCCCACCCAAGACTGAGTCTCCAACATTATATATATATATATGTATATATATATATGTATGAGTGTGTATATATATATATAGTATATATATGTATATATATATATATTTCAAATATATATATATATATATACTATATATATATTTGAAGTTTGAGTGACAACAGTTAGTAAGCTATGAAAAGCAGGCATTATGAACAAGCACAAGTAACCAGAGGGGTTTTCTGGGCCTGAAAAAGCCGACAGTTTATCCAGGTAAGGGAGAGAATGGGGGGACCCACCTTGCTGTTCTGCTGAGGGTCTGGGGCTGAGTGGGCAGAGCCTCCCAGAGGCAATTCCAGCACAAGCCACGTGCGATCCCAGGAGAAGCTCCCCGGTGTCCTGGAGGGGTACAGGCCGTGAGGCTCGCAGGAGGATTTGTGAGGCATTCTTCACTTTATTACCTGGGTTTCTCCGACTAGTCCAACCCACCTGCAATTGAGGAAGGCAGCAGAAGTTACTGGTAGAGGAAACAGCCCTGAGCAGGACTGGATGGAGTCAGACTTGCAGACCACAAAAGGGCTGAGGCGCCTTCGGGAGCTTTCTGTGTGTCCTTCCGTGTTGTTCATATCAGCATCCTGCTCTCCCCTCACAGGCTGGTGTGGGGGCAGAGGAGGAGAAAAGCAAGGTGTGGGGGACTCCTCACCTCTTCACAACCATGGGGAAAAAGACCCACGGTCTTCTGGTTCCCTCGGCTTTCTTAAAGTAATGCTGTTATTGGCTGAATTGCGTTCCGTCAAATTCATCTCCAAAAGTCTTAACCTTCAGGACCTCAGAATGCGGCCATCTTTGAAGATAGGGCCTTCAAAGAGATGATTACAGTAACATGAGGTTGTTATATTGGGCCCTAATTCAACAGGATTGGTGTCCTTATAAGAAGAGATTAGGACACAGACACACACAGAGGACAGCCATGTGAGAACACAGGGAGAAGACGGCATCTACAAGTCAAGGAGAGAGGCCTCACCAGACACCAATCCTGACGGCACCTGGATCTTGGACTTTCATGCTCCAGAATTATGAGGAATTAAATGTGTGTTGCTGAAGCCGCACCGGCTGTGGTGCTTTGCCATGGTAGCCCTGGCTAAGGAGAAGAGCAGCTTCCCTGAGCTGAGCACACGGCGACATCCTCTCTCCCACAGGGTGGCTGGAAGACGGCTGATATGGCTACTAGTGGCCATACAGGGCCAACAAGAAGGGAGCTGAAGTGATGTAGGAACTATGAGGTCTTCTCATAGACACACCTGCTGCTGGGAAGAGTCAAGGCCACACACAGCTTCTTTAACCAGAGGTGGATGCTGCACGAGACTGGTGGAGCTGACTGCAGGCTGGGCTCCCAGGTAGCTTAAAGAGGAATATCCTGCTGCCCTTCCTTCAATGACTGATTGACAGAAGAACAGGCTTCTGTCTCATGCCACCATGTTTGGGTTTCCCTAACCAAGTGCAGTAGTTTCCACCCAGCTTCCTTAGTAGGGACAGCTGAGTGGCTTTCACAAGTTTCCATAGCTACAGAGAAACATCATTTTACATAGTCTCACTGTACAAAAATTCAAACTCGAATAATCTGCACTTTTCTGTGACTAGAATCGTCTTTCTTTGCCTTCTGTTTTTTAGGGATGGGGTCTCACTCTGTCACCCAAGCTCAAGTGCTGTGATGCAAACATGGCTCTCTGCAGCCTAAAACTCTTGGGCTCAAGCAATCCTCTTGTCTTAGTCTCCAAGCAGCTAGTACGACAAGTGTGCACCACCATACCTGGCTAATTTTTTCTTCCTCTTTTTGTTGTAGAGATGGGGTCTCACTGTGTTGCCCAGCCTGCTCTCAAACTCCCAGCCTCAAGCAATTCTTTCACCTTGGCCTCTGAAAGGCTGTGATTCCTGGTATTCACCATCATGTTGACCATGCTTTGCTTTTCTCATTTTTGTTTCTAGGTCACAATACTAGTAACTGAATCCAGGCTTACTGTAAAATCTAAAATTTATAAAGCCAAACCTGAAAATCACCTCCCAAGTCAAATTCAGCTCTCCTCCCTAGTAAATAACTTTATCATGTTTGAATCCGCATCCTTCCATAATTTTAATATAAAAATGATATAAATTCAAATATCTCACTTGCTTATGTTTGCAAAAATGAAATTATACACAGAGCTTTCGAGTTTCTTTTCTAAATGATCAGTGTGGATCGGGGAGCTTTCCATATGGATAAGCAGAGCTACCTCACTCTTATTAGAGCATCGTCATTTATTTGCTACCCCCTATGGAGGGACATTAAAATTTATTCTAATTTTCCTACAACTATAACAGTACCGTGATCATTCATAGTCAGAAATCTGTGTGTGCCTGCCAGACCTAAAACGTGGCTGGATTCCCAACAATTGTTGAGTCACTTGAAGAGCATGGAGGATCCCATGAGAAATGATGCTGGAGTTGCTTTGAGGGCTCACTGCTCTTCTCAGTGTCTTAGTCCCTTTGTGCTGTGGCAACAAAATACCAGAGACTGGGTAATTTATAAAGAACAGATTTTCCAAACCTTTAAGTTCTGCTTTAAAAAAAAATATAAATGTCATCTTTGCATAGCTTCCCTCTTCTTGCAATTTATGTATTTCACTATAATCGGTTTAGAGAAGCCACACAGCATCCCAAATGCTGCCCAGGGATTCCTTCTGCCAAACATCCCAGTTCATCAGTCTTACTTTCTGCTTTCCAAAGAGATCTAGGACACAGACATAACTCAACCAAGTTATCTGCCACTTTGAAAGAAGGATGGATTTCCCCCCAGTGTCCAATAATGTATTCTTCATTTCTGTCTGAGACCTCATCAGAATGGCTTTTACTATCCTATTTCTGCCAACATTCTGGTAAGTAGTCTCTAGGAGGAAACAGACCTTCCCTCCTCCTCCTCCTCCTCCTCCTCCTTCTTTTGAGACAAAGTCTCACTCTGTTGCCCAGCCTGGAGTGTGGTGGTGTGATGTTGGCTCATCGCAACCTCCTCCTCCCAGGAGGAGCTGGGACTACAGGCACACAGCACCAGGCCTGGCTAATTTTTGAATTTTTAGTAGAGACGGGGCTTCATCATGTTGGCCAGGCTGGTCTTGAACTCCTGACCTCAGGTGATCCACCCACCTTGACCTCCCAAAGTGCTGGGATTGCAGGCATGACCACTGTGCCCAGCCACTCTCTCCTTTTTCTGAGCCAGCATTGCAATCGACTTTATGTTCACAGCAATATAGGTTTTTCCAGCATTTACTGCAAAACTGTTCTAGCCTCCCCCTGTTACCCAGTTCCAAAGCTGCTTCCACATTTTTAGATTTTTGTTACAGGGATATCCCATTCCTCTGGTGTCAGTTTCTGCCTTTGTCTATGCTGCTCTAACAGAATACCTGAGACTGGGAAATTAATAAAGAGCAGTTCTGGAGGCTGGGAAGTCCAAGATCCAGGCACCCTCACCTGGTGTCTGGGGAGGACCCCCTGCTGAGTCCTCACCTGGCAGAAGGCAGAAGGCAAGTGAGCCTAACAGGGCATGAAGCCTCTTTTAAGGGCCTTAATCCTGGTCATGAAGGAGGAGACTTCATGGCACAATCACCTCTCAAAGGCCACATCTCTGAATCCTATCACAATGGCAATGTCTGAATTTTGGAGGCATCATATTTCAACAATAGCACTTGGATTATTGGTTTGCTCCTCTCTATTTCTTAGCTTTATATAATTTCTAACCAAAGAGTTAAGTGAGTTAAGTGGTTCTTCACTGCCTTTAAATTTATTATATATTTAGCCTTCTAGAATTTTTGTATGTGCTTAAGCAGTATAATGCACAATGAGTACAAATTTCCAGGGATTCATGGACTCCCTGCAAGCCTTTAAAGGAACCCCAGATATTCACGAGTGTCTTGGGCCAAATGTTGAGAACTTTTCCTCTAATACTTGCTCTATTACTTCTACCAAAAATTAATAAATATATTCTTAACCAATCTACTTTTTCCCTTATAGTCACATTGATTCTGGGATCACAACCATGAAATATAAACACTGCTTACTTCATATTCATGAACGATTCTCCTGAATATGAAAAAAAAATTGAACATATGGACATTGGGGGTTAAGTTTAACAAGTTGGAAACTCATTTGCTTCTTCAGATAGAAAATTCATTCACTTGGCACAGAGCAATAACAGCTATGAACATAGTGTGTAAATATTTTATGAATAAAACTCACTAGTTGCAGCAATGCATGAAGCAGATGCTTAATTTATGCAATGACACCTCCTGTCTGTGTCACAGGTTGGCCCACTTGTGCGTTCACATTCAGTTTCAAACACAACCTTCTAAGAATCATGCACTAAAGCTTAACTAAGCTGCTCTCTTAAGCATGCATAATATGCCTAAGTATTGCTAACTCAGCAGTGAAAAATAAATTACACTTTTAAGCCAAACAACACTCAACTTTAAATGCTGCTTGCTAGAGCAAGGAGATAGAAAGAGACTGTTCTGATATTCACATTTCCTGTTGAATTCATCAATTGGAATTATATTAATATTTTCTGATAATCTCTGAAACCACTTTATTAGTTAACTCTTCCTTGACTGATATAAGTTAAAGAATGGTTTATGAGCTTCATGACTCAGAAGCCATTCCTTAAGCACCTACGAGTACCTTGGCATCAAGCAAAATATGTCACCACGAAACGATAGTCACTAAAGGTCCACAGGTGATTCCACTGTGAGGAGGGTTGAGAAGTCCCTGCCTGACCCTTGTCTGATTGAGACCATGCTTTTTAATACACAGCTCACAAAACCTTCGGCGATACGGCCTCTGCCTACCTCCCCATTTCCTCTCTGTCTTACGCGTCTCTGCAATGCTGTAGCCAGAGTGACCCTCTTGCCCTCCTCCCCGCATTCTGATGTGTGGCTGCTTCCTGTGCCTCTGTCCTGACTCACAGGGTCCTAGACTCATTCCAGCATCTTCTCTTGGAGGCTGTCTCCTTTCCTGGTGTGCCCCACTCCCCAGAGCAGCGCTCCGCAGACAGGAGGCTCTTCTTGTTTGCTGAAAATGAATGCACGGATGCATGAATATATGCATCAGTTTTAACCACGATCTGAAGTTGCTCACATTTATTTGTCATTACCGTGACTCTAAGCTTATAACATAAGTCAACACCCGGGTGGAAGTACCAAGGAATGAAAATCATACACTGGTTGATATTTGCTGTAAATAAATAATTAGTCCTGTTTTCAGACTTGTCCTACAATATGTAGAGTTGGGTCCAGGCAGGCATGTAGACAGCTTCGTGTGTAGCAACCCCAAATCCTCACTCCGTGTGGGGAATCTGCACAGAGGACCAGCTGGAGGAGCTGTTGGTGCCCTTGGCTGTGAGGCTTCCTCCTGCACAGCTTTGTGGGAGGCAAGGGCATTGGCTGGGCCACCCCCACTCCTGCTCTCCTCTCCCTCACTGCCAATTACCCCAAGCTCCATCTGCCTTCCCAACCCCCCAGGCCCCCGCATAAGACAAAAATTTAAAATGAGTTTTGGAAGTGATATGAAAACACATCTGGAAAGCCATACTTCCCGGGCACATATGCAGTGTTATTGCATGTGCACGTCAGGCCGCTGTGTCATGATATTAGCATGAAAACACCATGGGTTTCAGGTTCCAATTGTCTTGGTGTCAGGCACTCAAAGTCACTTACCGAGCACTGTGTGCCAGGAACTGTGCTGGCCCCATGCCCATGTCCTTCAATCTACCACTGCTCAAACCTGCAAAGAGCCTGGGATGGCATGTCCAAAAAGCTGGTAATATTTCATTTCAAATTTCAGGTTTCAAACTTCATCACCAAGAACCATTATATCCAATTTGATTTAAATTACATAGAGTTAAATGGCACGTCTATTTTCCCAGATAACATCTCAGAAACCTGTCCTCTGGGATGACTGATGCAGTTACCTTTCTCCCCAGGGGTCGTGAGGGAGCTAAGAGCTGGATGAACAAGAAAGGGGGCACACTCTCCCTGGAGTAACTTCCTTCCTTACCAGGAGACCAGCAAAGCTCTTCGGCGAGCATCCTTCCCTGATGCATGATCCATGATCACTGTGAGATTAACAGCACTTAGCAAACACAGGCTAGAATTTCAGGCACTTTCTTAATCGCCTCCACCATTCCTATGACTAACAGAAGCCCTGCCAGGTGGGGGTTCCATTGTCGTCATCATTTTACATATGAGGTGCCTGAGGTCACAGGAACTTGTGCTGTTGCATCTTCTTCAGGCACAGGCGGGGATTGCGGCCAGTGGTCCCCAGGTTCACCCCTCTCCTGTCCATCCTATTCTGTATCGCTGGACATGCACTAGAAAGGATCTGCTATTGGATTTTTGTATAACACTTTTCTTAGTGTTTATTTGGCTGCAATGTTGTAATTTCTTTTCTTTTTTTTGGCGGGGAGGGGGGATTCCCAACAAGCATTTATTCATTCGGTCATTCAACAAATTCTTATCTGGGGTCTAATCTGTGCTGAGTTCTGCACCACGCAGTGGGGACATCGCCGAATGGTTACTGATCACCTTTTTTGCAGTTCTTCTCCATGGCCTGCCTGGCTCTGTCCCTCTCCCTGCTTGGAGCACTGGAGGCTGACCCTGCCCGCTGTGCACACCCGCCTCCCCTGGCCCCTTTGTCACTGTCTTCTGGTTGAGTCCGGTCTGTGGAGGGCTCTGGTAGGAGACCAAAAGGCAAAAGGAGACGGAGCTTCACCTCTTGGGACACAGCTGGGCCCCTCCACAACTGTGGTTCTCGCCAAGTGGCCCCACTTCCCAGTCTGCAGTGGCATCATCTCCTCCCCTTGCTCCTTCAGCTGAGTGAGGGGGCCCCACTTGCTGTTTCTGGGGTCCGCAGCATCCAGAATGGTTCCTTTATTAAATGATCTTCATTTGCAGCATCTGGGGTGAATTCCGTAACAAGAAACGCAGGGGTTGAAGTGGGATGAATAGAGACGTAGATCATGTGCCATGAGAGGCGACTGTCAGCCGTATCTCAAGTGCAGCACAGCCAGGCTTTGAGGGGTCAAGATGATCTTTACCTTTCACAGTGAGCAGGAGGAACCACTTATGAAGGTCCGACCCTATTTCCAGTTATAAGAATACAGAAGCATGCCCTAAACCTAGTTTTTGCTTTGAAATGCAATATGCATAGGAAGTCAGACACAGGTGTTAATGTAAACTTTTACTGACCTTACTTCAAGCATTGGTTTTGAATCATCATTTTTTTAAAGAAAAAAATTAGATACCAAAAGATAAATGGAAGTCTAAATTATCGATTTGCTAAATATCTTCCTTGCTGAAGTCTTTAACTCCTGTTGATATTTTAGCCAGAGCATTACATATGTTATGTCTGCTCCTTGTTATTTTCCTTTGCCTCTTTGCCCTAAAAGAACTGCACTAGACATCACCAGGACACATAGAAAAATAGAAATTTATGCAAATGTTAAATCCAGAAATCTTCAAATGGAAATAAATCTGAGATTTCTCATAGCATGCTAGAAAACTGTAGGAACAGGCACACGTTTTACTGGATTCTTGAGCCAACTAAAGCCTCTTTACTGCCCTTTCCCTGGAAACAGGACTTAAATCATAAACCTCAGAGGCCAGTGCTGTAAAATGCTGCTTGTATTGCAGTAGAAATGAAATGTCCACAAAAGGTAGCTAATAATAATGATAACCAAGTGATTCTAAACATAAAGTATTTGTCTTAATAATATTATTTTCCCCATTGGACATTAAATTGCATGTTTTCCATGTGTATTTATTTAATCCCTAAAATAAATTTATTATGTTTTAAACCTGAAGAAAGTGAACATTTGAGAGCATAAGTGACTATACCAAGGTATTAGGGCTTGTGAATGGATTTGAAGTCCAGCTGTGTCTGAATCAGGGGCCCTATTCTTAACCCATCTTTACATTCACTCCTAACTCACCTTCGATGAGGACTGTGTCACCGCAGCATTTAGAGAAGGACGTGGGTGGAATACCAAGTCCATGGGCTACTTATTAGCTACCTGTGTCTTGATTCTCCTAAAAATCTTTCCCTGACTGTAAGATAGGATGACAATATCCACCACATTGAGGCTTACGAAGATTAAGAAATATTCTTAAAATATGTGATAACACGTCTACACAAGGTACGACGCCTAGCATTCAGTGGCCATGCAATAAATGCCTGTCCTCTTTCTGTCTTATTCTAAGTAAAAGAGAGTATAATAGCTACGCTCTCTCTCCTTACTTTAGGATTTCCTACCTTGTGTTTGTTCCAAATAACATCTCAGTGCTCCTCTTTACCAAGCCCTGGCATAACCCTTTCGAGGACTGAATTTACTCCATCTGATTTTCACTAATTTGGTCCCCAGTTAAACACACTGAGAGAGCAGAAATTCTAATGTGTTGTAACATTTATTCCTTTTCCTACTCTCAGATAAATAGATTAGTATTGTTAGTATTAGGTTTGCAAAGATATGCCCAATGGGCATGCCCAAGAAGGTTTGTGTTTTGTTTTTCTGTTCGTGTGTGAGAGAGAAGAAAAATGAGAGAGAGAGAGAGAGAGAGAGAGATGGAGAGAGAGAGATAGGAGACAAAACCAGAGAGAGAGAGAGAGAGAGCGCAACAGGGACAGAGACAGAGAAAGAGAGAGAGACAGACAGACAGAGAGAGAAAGACAGAGAGACGGACAGACAGAGACAGATAACAGACAACTCATGTTAAAATAGAGGGTATAAACTAGAGTAATAAGACTTCCAATAAGTAAACATCCCTTTTATTATTTTTTGTAAAAGGTTACATTCCTTCATAATAAATATAGACAAAGATGTGTTATTTGCACGTTTATTTGTGTGTGTTTTGTTGTTTTCCTAGAATAGAGTCAGTTAGTAACTTCCCAGCCTTTCCCTCGCTCTTCCTCAGACACCTGCAGTCAAGTGCATTTCGAGAAAGCAGGTGATTTGTGGCAGGGTCACTTAAAGAATAAAATTCCAAGTTTCCTAGTCTGCCCTACCAGATCTTTAATAATCATAATGATTATAAAAATGCATGATCGGCTGCTATAGGAGGTAAGTGCATTTATTCATCTCCTTGCTAGGACCAGGCTGTTGAGCCTGGGAGGTTCGTCGTTCCACAGTCTTCCCGTCACCATGCCTGCCTGGCTCCAAAGACCGCCCCCCCACCGCCATCTATAGCACACTCACCTGGGTCCCTCTCACCTGCCAGTCTCCTTCCCCAACCACCCCTTTCTGTCTTATGATTGAGCACATGTTGAGAACGTTGCACAGGACAGGTAGGTCTCCTCCTGCTGAGTCCTGCTGGCCCCATCAGCCCTCACAGTGCCTTCCAGCCTGCACTCCATGCCCCAATGCCGTTGCTGCCCCAGCACACAGAGCCAGTCGCCCCCTTCTCTGCACGTGTTTCATGGCCTGGTGATGCCCCGTTTTCACTCTGTCTATGTAATACTGCTAGCTTGCCCTCTGTCAGTCAAAGAGGTCTTCAGGTCATGTCCATGGATTTTTAAATATTGTTATTTTCTCAGAAGTCAACACAATTCCTGACACATAAAATGCTTTCAATAAGAGTTTACTACATGCTTACAGTTTCAAAAGCATTTCAACATGCTATCACAGAAGTCCTGTCTTCTACCAATACACAGTTTCACGAAGTTTACAGGGAAAGGAAAAGTTCAATTCTCTCAGCCCTGTCTCCTTGAGGAGGAGATTTTGCATATGTTCTTGAAAATCAAATACACACACAACACACACACAAACAGACATGCTTTGTTTCATTAACAGATTATAAAACATAGCTAACATTACATAGAAATATTTTTGAAAATAATAAAAAGGAAAAATTCTCCCATTTTACAGTGTCTAATTGTTCATGAAATAAATTACAAAATGCAAATCCAGAAACAAATTTGGATCTCCTTAGATTATATTATACACATAAATAAGCATATAATAATGTGTGTGTGTTTCCGTGCACAATTATTTACGACATGAACAAAAAGAGTGGTGAAGCTGAAAATGTCTGTTTCAAAGCCAAACAACACTGGAGATTGCCAATCTTTAAATAACAATCGATTTTTATATTTTTTAAAAATCCTGCTTCTGGTAGGACTTTAATCCCAGAAGTAGGATGTGTATGTAGGAAATCAAGGGTTCACACCCCTTTTTAAGATTGGTAAGTAGCAGCTCTGCTCACATTTTTGGATTAGATATGATTGGCCTTCCTTTTCCATCGGTTCCACATTTGTGGTTTCCACCAACTGCAATAGAAAATATTCAGGAGGGAAAGGATGGTTGCACCTGTACCGAACATGTACTGACGTTGCCCTGCCATTATTTCCTAAGCCATATAGCACAACCACTATTTACATTGTATCAGGTGTGATAAGTAATCTAGAGATGACTTAAAGCACACAGGAAGGTGTGCATAGCTTGTATAAAAATACCACACAATTTTATATCAAGGACTTCCACATCCAAGATGTCCTGGAACCAGTCCCCGACTGATACTGAGACATGACTATGTATACAAAAAAGGAATGAAACTGGCAAGATAAAAGAAACACTTCACTAAACTCCTGTCTAACTTCTCATTTCGAATATACACAAGTGTTTCTAAACCCAGGTTTGCATAAGCCTTATCTATTATTGATATGAATTCTTATTTTATTTCAAATTTTCTTTCTATGTTTTTGGAACCATTATTCCCTCCAGGCATACCCTAATCATATCACTGCAACAGGAAGGAAAATAGCATTGCCAATGCTGCCAGGCTCCCGTAAGAGATGTAAGAGAGCTGGCATTGTAAGTTCAGGGTTTTCGGTGCCCGGATGGTGGTTTTGAGACCTGCGCTGTGGTCTGCCTTGGGTGTCCTCGCAGGCATTGTAAGCATGCAGTGTGATGTAGCAGCTCTGTGGTCTGCCTTGGGTGTCCTCGCAGGCATTTTAAGAATGCGGTGTGATGTACCAGCTCTGTGGTCTGCCTTGGGTGTCCTCGCAGGCATTGTAGGCATGTGCGGTGTGATGTACCAGCTCTGTGGTCTGCCTTGGGTGTCCTCACAGGCATTGCAAGCATATGGTGTGATGTACCAGCTCTGTGGTCTGCCTTGGGTGTCTCGCAGGCATTGTAAGCATGCACGGTGTGATGTACCAGCTCTCTAGGATGCTCCAAGGTCAGACACAGGCTCCTAGCTGAAAACAGGACTGAGCATGGTCCTTTCTATGCCAGGTTGCAGGTGAAATACCCACTCCCAATCTGGACACTGCTTAGAAAACTCCACCTTCTTGCACACTTTTCAAATGTGTATACCATAGATTTGGTAAACAAATATGCTTATTCTCAATGTAGACAGAAGGATAGTCATGAAATAGTATGTTATGGAGTTGTAAAAAAGAAAGTCCCCAGCAAAAGAAAATTTAAAAAAAGCTTTCTATCTTGCTGGGCTGTCCCTTTCCTGGGTCTTTGGCTGGAGAGCAGCTGTTCTGAGGACTTGTCCTTTTTTCTTCACCAACCTAGATGGGACAGCCTTCTACACACTCAGGCTGTGTAGTGTGGCCCGTTGCCCCCACACACCTGCATGGCGAGTACTGAATACTGTAGACAATCTAACACAGTGGTGTTTGTGTGTCTAAACACAGAAAATGTACAGCAAAAATGTGGTATTGTCTTATGAGGCTAGAGTCACATATGCAGTCTGTCTTTTAACTGGCACTTCTGGATTGCTGGCTTCTTTACCTCCAAGCCTGGGATATATGAGGCAGAAGGAAAGTCCAGTGAACTCCCTCCCATGTCATTTCCCGGTTGAAGTCCCTGGATACTCTGCCTCTTCTCTCCATCTTCAGAGTCTTACGTGTGTTTAATCTATGACATCCAGGGTTTTGAGCTGCACCTCATGGGAAGACTAGGGAAGAAAATGTCTACTCCATCTCTCTGAAATCAGAATCTCTGTACATTTGTTTTTAAAATCATAGACTGGAAAAATGTAATCCGTATATCCAAAAGAGCTAACGTCTTCTGAAGAACTTGGCATGGCCACATTCATGGTGGAGAGGGGTAAACTGGAGTGCAGACGTACAGTCACACATCAGGGATCCATTCCTCGAATGCATCCCTAGGCAATTCCACCGCATGAACATCCTCAAATGCACTCACACCAACCTAGACGGGAGAGCCTTCTACACACCCAGGCTGTGCAGTGTGGCCCGTTGCCCCCATGCACCTTCACAGCAAGTAGTGAATACTGTAGACAATATAACACAGTCGGGTTTGTGTATCTAAACACAAAAAAGGTGCAGCAAAAATGTGGTATGATCTTATGAGGCTAGAGTTACATATGCAGTCTGCCGTTGAACAAATGTTGTCTTCCAGCACATGATTGTGTATATGTATATATAACAAGCATTTGAAATGTTCACTGTCTTCTCATTAATGTGGATTACATATATTACCTCGATATTCACCACATCTCTCTTTTCTTTAATCAAATTTTTGTGTAATCTGTCTAGGGTCCTCTTCTGAGTTAAGAATCCTAGGAACAGAGCTGAGAGAAAGGAGTCAGTCACAGAATTTGTGAAAAAAATCTCTGGGTTACAAGTGAAGCTTCAGCCTTACAGCCCCCATTGGATGTAATAGACCTCACATAGTAACAGCATTTAGGCTCATATTGTCATGAAAATAAAACCTGCACTCGTATCTACTTTCATACAGAAAAAAAAAGTCAAATTGAGCATTTTCACTATGTGGAATTCACTGGAAATTAAAGAAGTGGATTCAGCCCCCTTTGTGGTTTCCACGGTGCCTTCGGAGCAAAGAAGAGGCGACTTTCTCTTGCCTGGGAAGGCGGGGACTGATGAGAAGGAAGCAGAGCTAGAGAGAAAGACACCTCTAATGCAGTGATATCCATTTCCATTAGGCAAATAAAAGCCACAAATCACTCAGATGATGCAAATGCTCGATGATATTTGTGTTCTATATATCAGAGTTCTGACCATCTAAAGTTTTGGGAGCATGTTTCCAACTTGGCGTCTGTAGGATCATTGGTGAATTTGATTTTTCAGCTTTTCCTAATGACAAATCCCTGAGTTGGAAGCAAAAAGGCAAATAACTGATTATAAGTGCAATGAAAGTCTCTTGAATTTACATATACATTTACTTGTACCCTGTCACATTTTCTTAACCTCTGAACCTCTGCACAACATATAAATGAACTTGTCTGGAATTGTTTTTTTCCCCCAAATTGCAGCCTGTATTTCTGTAGCACTGATGCAATTATGCCACCTCAATTGCCTTGCAGTGGGAAAAAAAAAGCACAAAGCAAAACTTTGTATATCAAGAAAATAAAGCCTAGAAAATTGCCTGTGACACACAGCAACACAAAGACAGCTACGCTTCCCCAGAAAGTGGACAGAATAAAAGTAGACAGTTTCTATTAACAATAACAAGACAAAATACAGAGGCCCTTTATCTCTTAAAATGTAAATTTATACAAGGATTCATGCTGCCCTGCTGTAAATATCAAATACCCCTTTAGACCATAGAACAAGAATGAATTGATTTTCCTGCTAGCCTCCGCCATCTGCAGATTCTCATAGCTTGGCATTATATCAATGCTAAATTAAAAATCCTACACTCTAAAACCATACGGGAGATTTGTGAGGTTCAAGCTGTTTATTCTTTAAATTATATGATTGATTTTCTATGTTCATATCTACTCTATCTGAATCATTTTTCAAGTTTATTCAATTGATTTCTTAGTGTTATGTGTTGCTCTCTCAATAACCTTTCTCTAGTGCATATCAGCTTTATATCTGTTCTCATTTACATTTATAGGCCGAGAGCAGCTGAAAGTATATTGATTTTCTTCAAGCACTTTGGTATACAATCCCTAGTTATTTGTGATGAATGCTCTTTCTCATTTATGGTATTAAAGTCTCTGAGAGGAAACCTAATTCGATTTGCATTCATTTGGGTCATCTGCCCTTCGGAGAACATGGTAGAAGAAGCTGGTGGTGACAAAATTCATAATTCAGTGGCACTGAGTCCAGTAATGGAGCCAGGGTGAGAAGCAGCGTTCTGTTGGCGACCTATTCAACTCACATGGCAGAAATCTACTTATTTTATCTCATAATGTTTATTAATGACTTCAAACCAGTTACCCAGTCTTAGCCACTAAACTCTATTAATAAGGTAACGATAGCTATTATCTGTCACACCATCTGATTTCAACCATAAATGACACGTGTCGCTGGACGGCTTGTGCAGCATATCATGTAATTAGTAAACAGAAAATTCAGACGATTCCGTTTTTACAAATCATTCAAAGTCTCAATCTTCTCTTCATTTTTTTTAAAAAGGTAGAAGGAATGAAAGGAGAAAGAAAGAAAGCCACAGATAAATAAGATACTCTGGTTCTGTGAGCTTAAAGGTTAAACGTGGATTATTTTGTATTTGCCCAGTAAATCAGTTTCTCAGAATGCCTGGCTAAATCCAATAGATTAGCTAATGTCTGTGTACACACAATATCTGTTAGTCTAATAAAGGTCTCATACTGCTCCATTTATGTCTCACACAGTGACAAGCACACGGGCCCCAGCTGCTCTGCACTTCAAATTAGTATTAGATACCATTTCAGACTGCACACCTAGAATTAGAAGTGGAAATGGCCTGGTGGGTGAGTCCTCACTTCACCAGAGTAGTTAAAAATGCACTGATTTGTTTCTTAGTCGCAACATGTACATAATCTCTTTGCGAAGCTTTCTTCTGCATTCCTTCATCTTTAAAAGGAAGTGAACTAATTTTATATTTATCCAACAATAAAACTAAATAATCAATGTGAGAAAAATCCTCCTTAGTTGAAAGTAGCCTCTTTCTTTTTGTCTCAGTCAAAAAGTGCTTGTTTTAAAGGACAAAAAATGTACATTGCCAATGAGAAATGAATACCTGACTTTTAAGAGGACTGTGTTTGTTTTCATGGATTTCCCATTTTGGTGCTAAAGAGCTGCCTGAGACCTTGATTTTCATGTACATGTGTAAAGGAAACACGTAGTTGGATAAATGTGTAAAAAGGAGTGCACACTTTCTAGGCACAGTCTGGTTATCTCTCCAATGCATTAAGTAGGAAATAAAATCATTTTTAAAATTTGATTTTCCATATTACTTTGACCAGAGAAGGATTACACTTTTCAGTTAAAAGTAAAAGCAGTTGAAACAGGACATGATGGAAATGTGAGAAAGCATAGACTGCATTTTGAAAGTTTGATTTCTGTCAAGGACAACAAGATCAGAAATGTGTTTATTACAAAGGAAAGGCTATTTGACCCCTTGTATACTTAAAAAAAAGGTCTTTAACATATATTATTTACTAACCATGAATATCTTTCTTTGTTTATTTCTAAAAAATAATGTAAATATAGACTATACTAGCACCGTCAAGATGCTGAAACTGGCATTTGAAAATAGGGAGAGTTGGGCAAGACGGAAATTCCCAGCCGGTCCAGTGGAAGTTCACTGGCACTGTCCATGGATGATGAGTCTGTGAGGAAGGGGGGTTTGCAAAGAGAGAGGGGAACACTAGGGAGCAAATTCAGATCTGACAATACCTCCAAGGGGTGCGTCCACCACTCGATGCCTTGATCCCATTTCATCTCAGCAAAGGAACTGTGCAATTCATCTCTGAGCTGTGTTTTTTTCATTGAAAAATGACAAGCCTGGGTTTAATGATTTTTAAAGTCTTTTTCATCCTAACACTCTATACTACTAGGCACAGATTTTGTAAATATATTTTATATACGCAGATGCACACACACAATTTTTCCCTTTCCGAGTTTGTAAATCTGCAGTGGTTTGGCTGTGTGTATGTGTAAACCCGACTTAGAGCATTTTGTGGTTGAAGATTGCAAACATTTACCTAGTGCTAAATACGCACCAGCTTTGTGCTACACCTTTCTATATATTACATCCTATAATCCTTAAAGTAAACTCAGCCCCATTCAGTGGAGATTCCTTGTTGGTTAAAGACCAATAAGTCTTTGGGGAATAAGGGTAGTAGGTAATCCTGTCATAAATGTATAATAATACTTCAATAACTTACTCCACCTACATTTAAACTTTCCTAACTTTTATTATTCTTCCTGGCACTGGCTAATTTTAACTCCCATACAGGAAAGTTATTTCTAACTTTCTCAGCAGGACTACATGTCTAGCTTAACAACAATGCCACCTGTCCTTGTGTCTACCTCAGACATGTCCTGAATTAGCTTTTCTATCCCTAGTCCATTTTCAAACAGGGAATAATATCCAGCCATGCCATGGTTTCTATAACAGACTTTATTTGTTTATGGGGGCATATATTCTAGATGAGTGAATTTTCACTTGAGGTGGAGGGAATAGTTGGATAACCCTATATTGTCACGTGGAAACTGTATCATACATGCATAATATATACACTGAGGGGTGAGTCATCTGGTTTTGCTGACATGGTAACATTCATAACCACGAACATTGCTTTCAGTTGAATAGTGAATAGTTTTGAGTTATAGTTAGCATACAATAAAATGAACCTATATTAAGTGTTCAATTTAATGAGTTTTGACAGTTTTAATCATTTGGAAATCACAATGGAAAGCGCATTTTCAACACCCTAGAAAGCTCCCTCCAGCTTTTTAAATCACTTTCCCTTCCCCTGCACTGAGCAACTACTAATGAACTTGCTCTTTACCGTTGCCCAGATCAGATATGGGGAGGGTTTCAAGAGCAATGTGGACACACAGGCACTCACTCAGTCAAGTTAATGCTTCCACTGCTACCAACTTCACTGGTAGGAGCCAAAGGTCCATTTGCAAGCACATGGGTGATCCCTTACCTGTGCTTCAAGGAACCTTAGGACTTCCTCTCTCCTCTTACTGCCTGGCTCAGGTGCTGGTGCCATTCCATTCCATGGCCATGCAGGATGCTGAGAAAGCACCTTCGGCTTCCCAGTCCCTCTCACTTAACATCCAGCCAGCTACATATTTCTACCATTTGTCTTTCCAATTATCTTCTGAATCACTCCCTGCCCTGCTGTGCCCATTGTCACGAATGTAGGTCAAGTCCCTCTCATCTCTTATCTGAATAAGTTGAAATACAATCTTCCTATGGCCGTCAAAAAAAAAAAAAAACTGCACCCATAGTTTTTCTACAACCTCACTGACTGTTCATTTCAGCCCTTTTTGCCTGATTTTGTTGCATTTTCTAAGCTTGGCACTCAGGTCCCAGCCTCCCTTCCCCCCATGTATGCTCCCTCCTTCAGAAGAAAGATGCTGCCCTGTCATTGCCCAGGACCTCTCACCTGGGCTCCAAACTCCAATGACCAACTTCCTGTTCCACAGATCCACCTGGGTTCTTAATGTGCCCCTCAAACAGAATGTGTTCTAAAAGAACTATTCCCACCCCTGTCTGGATGAGTTCCCCCGCAGTGTCCCTGTCTTCCAAAAGGGCAGCATCCACCAGTCAACTCATGCACCCGAAATCAGAGGTTCATCACAGGCCCCCACTCAGCTTTTATACCTTAAACCTCAGGCCCATCACAGGCTCCTGCACTCTCTTCCTGGCCCCCTGCTTCTGTGGCAAGTGCCCTAGGAAGGAAGTGCATCTAAGACATCCAGTTCCTCCCTGCCATGGGGTTGAGACCTGTCTCTGCCAGCAGCTGCCCCTGCTGGTCTCCTGCTCCTGCCCTGGGATGCCCACTCTGGCACAGATTTTCCCCACAACAGAAAAGGGAATAAGGTAAATATAGAAACCAGATCATCTTATTTCTCTGCTCAAAATACTATAGTGGTAGTCCATCCCTCACAAAATAAAATTTATACCTTTTTGGTATTCTGAGCCAATGGCAGCTGAGGCAGCATAGTTTTTTAATCTCACTGAATCCATTAATAAACAACAAGTAGAGCAACCAGGAGCATCAAGATAGTGAAAGCAAAGGTCTGTGAACATGTTCTATGATAAAGCTCAGTGGAGTGTAACTCTATAAACTCCAGCCTAAAGGAGTGTGGAAAATCACAACCACCACATCAGCATGGGATCCTGGACTCTGCCTGGGGAAGCAGAGGACATGCCTGAGCATCCCACAGGCCACAGGAGCTGAAAAAAATTCACTGGGAATCACAGAGGCCAATTTTCTCCACAGCTGAAGTGGGAAGATGTTTGCTCCCTGCAATAGAAGGTAGTGGAAGGACCTGCAGGAAGGTTAGTAGAAACCAGGAGAGTCAGACTTTATGAACTTTAAAAACTTACCAATCAAATAACCTCTAGTATAAAACGTTATGCTCTAGTATAAAACGTTAAGTATTTAGGCAAGGATATACATTTAGTGGGACAAGAAAAATGAAAGAAAAAAAAAAAACCATAAGGAAAGGTCTAGAGAAAAGTTTGAGAGGAAAGCCAAGAGCTCTCAGAAAGCAACGACCACACTTTCAAATGACACATGCCAACAATAGGCGGGACACTCCCTGAAGTTAAAAAAAAAAGATATCCTGGTCCACACCTTTTCTAAAAGTTCAGGCAAAGTAATTTCGCAAGAAAAGCACAAGAAAAAAATGCTGGAGTTAAATCCCATGCTAAGTTATTATTTTTAAAAATACACAAAATAACATTTCTACTGATAAATAACTATAATGTCAGAAAAATGTGCCAAAGATGTTCATGAAAATATAGCCAGCTATTTTAAAATAAAACACTAAGAAAATAATGCAAGCTATGAAAAAATAACATATACTAGAATTGTAAAAAAAAATGCAGAATTTAGGAGATATAGCTTGAAAGAATTATAATGAAAAGAAGTATCAGCTGAGAATTGAATGCTAAACTAGAATGAACACAAGGGCAAATAAGCAGAATAAATGATGTCTTTCAAGAATAGAGAATGAAAATGAGCAAAATCAGATACCAATGAAGAAAGAGACAAAAAGGATAAAAGAAAGAAAAGTGCCATTATTACAGAAAGGGGAAAAGAAGATCCAACATATGCATTATAGGAGTCCTTAAAAAAAGAAATTAAAGCAAATAAGCAACAAATACTAAAATCTATTAAGCAAGAAAACTCTCCTGAAAAACTATTTATTTTAAAAATATCCGAAAGTACATTTTGAAAGAGTACATCAACTATTTGAAAATATTAATGGAGAATGCCCAACACCAAGACATAGTCTAGTTAAAGCGAAAGAAACCATCTGTGAATCTAAGCCCCCAAACCAAGTAAATTGTAATGGGGAAAAAAATTGTCACAAAATTCTTAACAGCAAGACTTAGGCTGCAAAAACAAATGGAGAACCATAGTTAAGACAACCAAGGAAAAGGAATGTGAACCCAGCATTATCATCCACTCAAATTTGCTTTTGAATATGAGGATCACAGACAAATGCTAATCAATGTACAAACACTCAGGAGTATTTCTTCCATAATTCCTCTCTGGAAAATCTATTGGATAATGAGCATCACATTACCAAAGGAATTAATACTAGTGCTGGTGTGAACCTTAAATATGTAGCTACCTATAGCAGTGAGACCACATGAGAGGGAAAAAGAATAGAGAACATGACAGCTACGGCTTTGACAATGTAGATGTAGTACAACTATAAAATGGGTGGAAAATTGGGTGAGTATGTGCTATATCATACCAGGTGGGTTAAGTTGGTATTGCCACTTTGAAACTGTCATACATGTAGGGTGGAAAAAAGGCAAACAAGTAATTATGAAAAAATTCTAGTTAGGTATCTCAAAACCCAGAATACTTAATATGGAAGTATGGAAATACATCCATAAGATAAAAAAGGGTATTTTTATGATAAATTTGAATTGGTAAAGCCTAGGAAAAATAATAACTTACACAGTAGTAATGGAGAGATCATGGTTTTGAAATACTATTTCTCATGAAAAAAAATCAGAGTTTCTTGGAACTAGGTAGTTATACCAGATAGATATAAGGAAGCTAAGACAGATTATGATGGCCAGATCAAAAAGTGCAGGATCCCACCAATCCTGCCAGCCAATGATGGGAGGACAATTTGAACTGATACTACAGTTAATTGAAACCCATGAAATATGTTTAAATTCATATGTTCAAAATACTATTTAAGAAAAAATAATTGGTCACTGCGGTATGCAGAATAATGACCCCCCTAAATATGTCCACATCCTAATTCCCAGAACCTGTAAATAGTTTACCTTATATAACCAAAGGGACTTTATTGATGTGACGAAGTCAAGGATCTTGAGACGGGGTATTTTCCTGGGTTATCTGAATGGATCTGATGTATTCACAAGGGGTTTTCTAAGAGAGATACTGGACGATCAGAGAATGCAAAGGGAGAAGTGAGGACAGAGGCAGAGGTGAGAGAGGAGTGAACCTTCTATGCTGCTGGCCTTGAGGATGGAGGAGGGAGCCAAGAGCCAGGGAGTGCAGGAGGCACTGAGCCGCTGGAAAAGACAGACTGGCTTCTCCCCAGAGCCTCCAAAGGAACCAGCCCTAGGGACCTGTTTTAGACTTCTCACCTCCAAAACTGCAAGAGAATAAGTTTGTATTATAGGTTTGTAGTTATTTACTATAACAGCAATAGGAAACTATTGGTTTTCACTAAGGTGACAATTGGTTACCTTGAAAACTAGTAAATGAAAAGTTAAGAATCAAGCATTTATCATACCTTTCCTGTATGCACAGTATCACTCGTTATCTAAAAAATAGATGCAAAGAAATGCCTGTTTATAGTCATATTCAAAGCAATAAATGAAAAAAGAAAATGTTAAAATATCATTATTTTCTAACTCCTAGTGAACTCCTAGGTACAGGCATCAAGCACCATTAACAGGAAATGCCACAGTAAGAAAGAAAGAAAATACCACCATCGTTTGTCTTGCAGAAAAAACAAAACAAGGAAAAGCAGGAAACAAACAAACCATGAATCTGATGAATTCTCTCTAAATACCAGCCTCACAGAAACTACAGGGAAAAGAGGGATATTAAACCTTGCCATGGGATGCCATCAACATGAAATACCAGGATTCATCAAAAAATTGTAAGGGAAGGAAGGGATGAAAATGGAATATTTAGAGATTAACAGCCATTTTAAAGCCAGAACTAGCAAAACTAAAACAAACTGTTTAGAAATGCTTCTTTAAGTGATAACCCTCTAAAGAAACACCAAGAAGAGACTACTCTAAAAATAGAGATGGTGATTAATAATTTTAAGGGGGTTGAGGGTGTATGAGGGAGAGGCAGTGAAATTCCCTGTCTTGATTTGAGCAGTAGCCACAAGGGTATATGCTTTATAATAATTTATCAGATTATACTTTTGCTTTATGTGATTTTCTGTACCTATCTATTATAATAATCAGAATGGTTTAAGCAATGCAAAAAAGACCAACTGCATTATTACGGGAAACAATAGATCCACTTTACCTCTGGGTAATCCCTCCTGGTCCTTCCCTGACTTCCTTTCCTCCAGCACACTCTTCTTCTGCCTTCCCATGCAAAACACGTGCTGTTCCTTCTGCTGAGGACATTTTTTTTTAACTCTAAGGTTTCCCAGATAATTCTTGAATTCTGTGCTTGGATATCAACTCTTCAAAATGAATTTCTTACTAAAATAAACCCCAACTTTGAGTTTTCTCATTCAACTTTATTTTTGATCATAGCACTTATCACTCACTGAAATTATTGGACTTATTTTCTTGCTCGCTGACTACCTTTCCCAGAACAGAGCATCTAACACAGAGCTCCATGGGACAGAGACCTCATTTGTCTTATTGACTGTATTTCCACTGTCAAGAAGAGACCTGAAACACGGTGGGTGCTCAAAAAACATTTGTTGAATAAATGAAGGAATGGATGAATGAATGAATGAAGACCTACTAAAACCCTCTACCCACTTTTCTCTCTACATCCAGGCCCACTGGCAAATCCATTCTCCATCTAACCACCAGAGCGATCTACCGAAAACATGAGTCTGACTCCATTATTCCCTTGCTGAAAATTGTCCTGTTGGCTTAGCATGGCAATGACTTCCCATAATCAATATGACTACTCCCTATGTCTCTGGTTTCTTTTTCTTTTTTCCATGCTTGAAAACCAGTGGCAAACTGCTGCTGACTTCACACTTCTGATATCATACAATTTTACCCCATGATTATGCCCATCACGTAATGTTCTTAAGTAATCCCCACTCTTGTTTTAAGGAGGTTCAATTCAGTTTTTTTTTCCATATCTCTTCTAGGAAAATGCCTTCTAGGAATACAGTTGAGTTACGGGCATCCTAGAAATTTTTTGTACATATTTTAATCATTGCACTTAGTTTCTGTATAAGTATCTACCTTTGTGCTGTTTCTCCACCTAGATTCTGTGATCCTTGTGGACAAGAGCTATCCTGCATTCATTGCACCCAATTGTAGTTCTTGGTTTGAGATGGTGTAGTTCTTGGTGTAGATGTTTGAGAATGAACTAGGGATCTATGTTACACTAATGTGTTAGTTGGCCGAGGCTACCATAACAAAATACCACAGACCAGCCAGTTTAAACAGCAGAAAACATATTTCTTCACCCTTTTGGAGTCTGGAAGTTTGAGATGAGGGTGCTAGCACGGTCAGGTTCTGGCGAGGGCTCTCTTCCTTGCTTGCGGACGGCTGCCTCCTCACTGTGTCCTCACATTGTAGAGAGATGGAGCAAACCCTTGGGTGTCTGTTCTAATCTCATCATGCCCCCATCAAACCCAATCACCCCCCACAGGCTCCATCCCCAAATCCCACATCAGGCTTCAACATTTAAATTTTAGGGGGACAGATTGAGTCCATAGCAAATAGTTACTTTAATTGAATAGCACATTGCAAATGAAGATCACATGCACTACCTCAATGAACTCTCAAAACAACTCACCAGATGTGTCACATCTCTCCATTTAGAGGAAAGAAACCGAGTCTCAGAGAGAACAACAGCTTGTACCATTAGACGCAGCTCATGCAGAGTCAGAGCTCAAACTCATGGTTTTCTGATTCCAGAAGTTTTCCATTCTCTGACCATAGTTGCAATCTCTGACCAGTTACTTGCACCCTTTTTTTGGTAATAACGCTGTTGCTGAAGAAGTTTGTAAAATGAAGCATGGGTTAAGTGCATCAGGGAAGCTCCACATTTAAAGCAAAGCCAGAATCTACTGTTTTGTCAACCTAAGAATGTTTTGATAATACAAAAAATGTTTTCCAAATTACCACCTTGGCAAATTTTAATTTTCCAATATCTGCCTTTTTCATGAACACAATTGCTATTAAAACCATTGATTTTATCAAAAGTAAAACCTACTAATAATTGTCTCTATAGGGCTAACCATAAATATAACTTGATAATTTTTGACACTTACAAGCTATCTTCCTACCATTGTTTTGCATGATAGGATTCTGCATATGGGCATAGGAATTGGCTCTGTGTATGTGTAAGTGAATAGGAATTAATGAATTCATTTAACCCTTTTTATTCAAGCTAAATTATATAATCAAATTATTACATGAAAGTGTGTCTCTTCACTTTTTAAATAAAATTCAAAATTATATTATATGGAAGGCTTCACAAATTTGCATGTCATCCTTGCACAGGGGCCATGCTAATCTCCTCTGTGTCATTTCAATTTCAGTATATGTGCTGGCAAAGAGAGCACTTCACTTTTATTTTTGACATTAGCAGCAATTTATTCAGTTGCTGCTTTGTCCCTTTTGGGGCTTCTTATGGATGGACATAGAGACACATCATCCCAGAGCCCATTCCTGACCGTCCTGGGAGAGGAGATTCTGAAAGGCACCTGCGGATTTTAAGAGATAATAAAATGTTTTTTATGTTAAGATAACCTGGCCAGATCTCCATATTTGAAAAGACACTTTTAAATTATTAGAACTGTACTCTCCATTTATACTTTTATCACTATTTTTCAAATTCTATATAAAGAATAGTAAGAATCCACAGCACTGTAATATTTCAGCCTCATAGAAATTGTTGCCAGATAAACTAGATATGGCATCTTATTACGTAAAGTGAACATTTTCAACTGCTCATAAAACTCTTAGTAGCTATGAGGCCAACCCTTAGGTTTATCTCAGTGTCTACTAACACCTTATGAAAAGCAATGGCTAAGTCTATGACTTGAGCAGAGGAAGATATCACAGAGCTGGTTTCAAGAAAGCCAAAGAGGGCCGGGCGCGGTGGCTCACGCCTGTAATCCCAGCACTTTGGGAGGCCGAGGCGGGCGGATCACGAGGTCAGGAGATCGAGACCATCCTGGCTAACACGGTGAAACCCCGTCTCTACTAAAAATACAAAAAATTAGCCGGGCGTGGTGGCGGGCGCCTGCAGTCCCAGCTACTTGGAGATGGAGACCATCCTGGCTAACACGGTGAAACCCCGTCTCTACTAAAAATACAAAAAATTAGCCAGGCGTGGTGGTGGGCGCCTGCAGTCCCAGCTACTTGGGAGGCTGAGGCAGGAGAATGGCGTGAACCCGGGAGGCGGAGCTTGCAGTGAGCCGAGATCGCGCCACTGCACTCCAGCCTGGGCGACAGAGCGAGACTCCGTCTCAAAAAAAAAAAAAAAAAAAAAAAAAAAGAAAGCCAAAGAGACTCTGTTTGTTTCTTTTGAGAATGACTGGGGAGGGTTCCAGGTTCAACTTCCTGTAGGCAGCGTGGACTCGTGCCATCATCTGCTAATAAGAAGCGTCTATTCACCTGTTCACCTACCCTATGTTCATCTGAAGGTCAGGGTAGTTGGGTTTGCGATACATAAATCTGGAGACAGTTTGCACTTTGAGCATTTCTAAAATATCATCAATGTCCCTGCAGGAGCACCTTCCTGATTCCCGAGGAACTCAGGTGGGACAATCAACACCCCACAGGTCGGCCTGGAAAACCGTCTCCAGGGACAGACATGCTTGGGGGACCAGGGAAGACAGGATTAGTTGCTCTTGAGGAACACACTGAAAGTCCTCTGAGATTGAAGGCAACTCTGTTTCTTTGAGATAAACAAGTGTTGTTTTCTCCCAGTTATCTCTGCTTTTACTTCCAGCTCTGTCTTTATTCATTTAACAACTAAAGCAAAGTTTACAAACTCAGTCTATCCCCTTCCCCAGAAAAAAAGAGGAAAATTACAAGAGGACTTTGCTGATGGATCAAATCAAATCGAGAGCATTTAATTGTATTTCTGCCCCAAATGCTCCTGTCAGTTAAGAGAAGTCTCAAGGCTGTTCCAGTTTTCAGCTCCATCACCTGGTGCTTTCCAAGGTTGGTCTTCAGCACTCAAGAAAACCTGAAAGACAATCAGATATTTGAATCAAACACAAGTCAAAATCTCTACTCGCCTCAGCCTCGGGAATCATAAAGTATAATCCAAACCTTAGGCATTCTGGGATAAATTCTAGGTGTCATTTATTTGCAGAGAGCAGAGCCAGGAGGACACACAACACACAGTCTCCTCCCTTAGACAAGGAGCAGAACAGACATTCCCCGATGCAGGGTGTTCCCTTCTGACAATGACAGGTTCTTGTAAGTTTGCACAGCAAGTGCAGAAGTTCCATATGAAACCACTGATCCAAGCGAAACCCTATCAAACGGGACTCTCTTTTATTTTCTTTCTGATCCTAATGCGGCTTTTAGATAATGCAAATAGATCACAGGCCAAAATGATCTGACAAGATAATGGAGCTTTCATTGCTGCCTGATTAACTTGGCTGTAGGGTTCCACCTCGACCCTTTCGGCATGATGGTCCTAATTAATAATGATTACTCCCAAAATGTGCAAATGGAACGATAAACGAAGAACCAACTAATTAACTGCAACCATTTCTACTAATCATTAGTTAACATCCCATTTTGTCATCATTACACGGAGGCGCATGCAAGGACAGATAAAACAGGGTCAGCTTTTTGCCCCCATAAACCTGACAGCCATATTTTCTTTCCCAATAAAAGACAAACAAGTAATTAAACTGAGAGCTGCAGTAAGGGCCACAAAATTCGATTACTTCAATATTCCACTGGTGGGTGAAACAGAACCATTTTTCAAAATAAGTGCTGAGACCATCCCATTCTTCAGGCATGCTTCAAAGGTGAAATTGTTTTCTCTCCAATCAGAATAAGACTGTGCTACCTGAAGGATTGTTCCGCACTCTCCCCAGAAGAGTGAAAACTCCGACATCCAGAGGACCTGCAAGTGGAGCTACCTGCTAGCCTCACAGGCATGACACTCTCCCAAAACCCACGATGCAGGGTCTTGCTGGGAGGTGGCGTGGAGCTGTGTCCAGGTCCCCGCAGGGTTGGAGAAGGACACGGAACAGGTGAAGATGGCAGTGTGACTGTGTCCATGACATCAGCCGCAAATAGAGGGTGACTTCAGACAACACCCAGTGATCCACACTGGCTCCCAGTCATGAGAATCCCTGCTTGGAGGCTGGGGACCCCTGGGAGCATCCATGAGGCAGAATGACCAGGGCCTTCCATGGCTCACCCAGTCAGCCTCCCGAGGCCTCTTACCCAGATGGAGCTGCCGGGAGGGGAGAGGAGGCCAGGTGCTCTCAGCAATATGTTCTGCCTGTTTCTGATGAACAGACAGACTCGATTTAGCAGGTAACAGTTGCCTGAATGGATGCATTTGTTAAGGCAAAGATCAAGGAAACATTTATAAAGTGGTGGCTCTCAGGAACAGAGAGAGAACCACACACTTGGACAATAGTATATTTTATTTTCCCTTTGCCTCCACTGACACATTTCAGATTCCACTTTCTCCGCTTTTTAATGGCTTTTTGAAAACGCCTTGTACTGAGCTGGAATTTGTATAAAGGAGAATATTCTCAGAATATTTAAGTAGGTTCTTTCCACAATGTGTTCTCTACTTCAAAATAGTACTACTTTTTTATAACTGTTCAGACAAAAAAAAAAGAAAGAAACTTATTGGAAAGTTTAGAGTAATGTAGTTTATTAAATAATAAAAATCAGATAGAAGACTGCAATGTAAAATGGGCCTTTAATTAATTTTAAAATTTTAATAATGTTCACAGGTCCCTCATTTCAGTTGTCCACATCTGAAGTGAGGTAGAGGATAGAGACAGTAAACTGAACATTTTACATTTACATTTACAAGCCTTCAAGTTTTGGCCCTGTAATCTACTAATTGTTTTGCCCAAAATTACACATAAATAAAAAAAGAAAATATCTTCCATGAGTCTTAGTTCCGTTCTTTATTGCCATGAATAATAATGCCTTATGTACCTGGGGCTGTAAAGCTCGAATGTGGATGAAATGGTTTTCATTCTTTCAAACAACAACAACAAAGGATATAAGGTGTTTTCAGTGAGAATGGGGAGAAACTTCTTTCTATTTGGAAATCCTTATCTACGACTGTTTTCCCTGTCTAGGCGAAAAAGGGCAATTATAAGAAAAGTGAATAAGGGAATAAAAAAACACCTCCCAATTTATTTTCAACAATAGTAGAAGAAGAAGAGGAAGAAGAAGAAGGAGGAGGAGGAAGAGGAAGAGGAGGAGGAAGGGGGTAGGGGGAGGGGAGGGGAGGGGAGGCGAGGGGAGGGGGAGGGGAGGAGAAGAGAAGGAGAAGGAGAAGAGGAAGGTATATAGTAGCCATGGCTATTCAGTTGTAAATTGTACAAACCAAAGCAGACTGTTTTCTAAATCCCGCCTCATAATCAGGCAGGCGTGCTTTGCTTTGGGAATCAGGGAATGCTCTTTGCACGAGCGTCACTTCTCTCTTGCTTTTTCTTTTACAATCGCCTGAAATTTGGATGATGCAGGTCAGTTCTTACTTTCTGATCTGGGAACACTTGAGTCCAGAAAGTTCCTCTAAAAATATCTGTGCATTCTAGAGGGACAAGAGCTCATTAAGTGAGATTCAACGTAATGTTCCTACTACCATGACTGGCAAGCAACAAAGGCTCCGTCCAAGCATGTAAGCACACATACATAGACACTCACACACACATATGCACATGAACACACATGTAAGCATGCACCAATACATGGAAAAGACACAAAAAACACACAAACAGGAAAGTACACAAACATGCACGTATGAACATAAACCTACATGGAAACCCACAAACACACATTTAAACACACATGACACACAAACACATGAGACACAAGCATGCACATATAAGCATGCATATAACTATACAAACACATAACATACATGACGGCACACACAAACACGTGAGGGCACAGGCACACGTGTAAGTGTGCAGGTCAACACACATTTAATCATGCAAGCACATATAGCTGCACATATGACATCACATAAACACGTGTGTAAACATACATGAAAACACACACACAGATAATGTGCGCGGCCATGAACAATCATCACTGCTCGTGGGAAACTCTGTGCTTCCTTACTTTATTAAGTAGTTACCCTCTACTGTGTACCAGACACACTTGTGGGATTTGGGGATCCCACAGTCAAATCATCAGCCAAACCCCGTGCAGCCATTGTGCTTATGCTCTAGCGGGACGCTGAAGAAGCTAATGAGGAAGCAGCATCCACAGTCTGCCCAGGGAGTGGGGCTGGGGCTGCAAACACAGCCAGTGAGTGGCTGGGCATGGACAGTGGTGGTCTCCTGGGGCCCAGCTGGGGAAAGCCTGTTGGAGCAGAAGCCTGGCAAGCCCGGTGCTGCTCCTGGGGAGAAGAGCAAGAAGAGCATGGAGGGCCCCTGGGATTGAGAACTGGGGGCTGATCTTCGTGGACTCAGGTGCTTCCTGTGGGGCCTGATTAGAGAGGGCACTCGAGAGTGTAAGGTGAGGACCTGGGAGGCCTTGTGGACACCTCGTTAAGGGACATTTGCTGTGAGTGTGGAGGCAGAGAAATGGGCTGGGGGAGGGAATTTGGAGGCAAGGCGGGGTCATTCTGTGTGTTCTGAGAGGACGGAATTAGCCGGGGGGGCACAGCAGGTGGGGACACTCCTAGAAAGGAGACGCCTGGCGATGAAGGGCTGGGACAGTGGCCAGCGAGTCCCTGAGCCCGGGGGTCACCAAGAAGAAGGCCCCAGCCTGGGTGCCCGTGAGGAAGGCAGGGTACACAGTCCTCAGGGGTGTGGGGGGGTGGGCATTTGTGAAAGTGTTTTTTGTTCTTTGTGTTTTTTCCTGAAAAATAATAGGGTATCATATTTGCTAAAGTCTTAGCTAGACTTAGGCAGGACGCATAAAAGCTATTAAATTTTGACAACATAAACACGGTCCTGTCCACGGTTACAAGTGCAGTGGACGGCAGGGAGAACTTTGGTGGGGATGTTGGAGTTGAAGAATGAAAGAGGAAACAAGAAAAAGTGTTTGCTTGCTCCCCTGGCTCTCAAGCCCCCCTAATCCCTGGGAGAAGTGTGAGGGGACTTAGAATTTCAGTGAAGGTTTATCCAGGGCACACAGCACTTGAGACCCAGAAGAGTGCGGCCAAATCTGCCAGAACTGATTTCAGATGGGAAGAAAGCTCCCATTCAGGGCTGCCTGTGGTACTGGACACATCAGAGGCTCCCAAGAAACAGATGAGCTAGGATTTTCTATTCCCGTTTTTCAGATGAGGAAACCAGGGTCAGAGTTCAGAAATACCAGAGGCAATAATTGTCCCTTAATTCTGAAATAAAGATTAAAACAATCCATCCTAGGTTGTCTGTCATAATAACAAAAGAATTGAGCTTAAAGTTTGCTAGATTAACTTAAATTAAAGCAAGATTATATTATACCTTGCTTTTATGATCAGAAAATCCATCTGATGATTAAATTTATATATAGTGATATATGAAAAGTAATGACATATCATATATGAAAAATCATATAAAAATAATTTACATATAAATAATATATAATATCATTGACTAATTTAAGATATTTTCCATGAAATATGTAAAACTTCACATTAAAAAATAAACTATTTAACAAATCTTTACAATTATATGACTCTGCAGCCAATCTTGAGTATTATTTTAAGATTGTGTATTACATGTAGAGAGCTAACATTATTCAATATGATAATATATCCCCGGTTTCTCCCTGCCTTTTCTTACAAGACAATATTATTAAAATTCAGACATAGCTATCAATACATCATACCCTATGACAACACGAGGTAATGGTATTCACCCAATAAGAAACGTCCCACAGGGCCTCAGGGTGCACCACCTCCCAGAGGGGTGGGGCCAGGACAAAGGCAGCCTTCACGTGCGCGCAGTGGTGATTCCATCATAAATCTCACTGTTGCAAATCATGTGACAGTCATTAAAGTGGTTTGTCCTTTATTTTTATTTTTTTTAATTTTTTTTGAGATGGAGTCTCACTCTGTCACCCAGGCTGGAGTGCAGTGGCATGATCTTGGCTCACTGCAACCTCTGCCTCCCAGGTTCAAGCAATTCTCCTGCCTCAGCCTCCTCAGTAGCTGGGACAACAGGCACGCACCACCACACCTGGCTAATTTTTTTTTTTTTAATTTTTAATAGAGACAGGGTTTCACCATGTTGGCCAGGATGGTCTCTATCTCCTGACCTTGTGATCCGCCCACCTCAGCTTCCCAAAGTGCTGGGATTACAGGCGTGAGCCACCATGTCTGGCCAGTGGTTTGTCTTTTTAAGGAACAATACATGAAGAAAAACTAAGCAAAACATTTATTTCATAAATCTTCATAGAGAAAGCCACACGCTTACTTAAGAATTATAATTTTCCAAATATACCTCATTGATGCAACCAAATGGGGACAAAGCAAGGAGCTTTGGAAAAGTGGGGGCACCAGGATGGTTGCCCTTTACACCAAAATAAAACAATTTTAGTTAAGGAGCTTTCCATTTCTGAAAGGGGGGATCTGATATAGGTTTTCACATTGCACGCGTGCGTGGTACCATGTTTCTCTCCTCAACCAAAAAAAAGTGAATGAGCCACCTATAGAGTGTGCGCCTCACACAGAGCCACACGGGGTGAGACTTGGAAGAAAGCTGCATGGGTTTTCAATGATAACAGTTGCCATGGGCTAAACCAGCTACAATGTGCCATTTGCCCCCAAAAGATAGCTTATGCAGAATAAGTCCCCCTTGAAGAACATCTAACTTTTCTATATGCTGATACCAAATATCTGTTGTCTCATTTAATCCACACAAATGATCTCCAGAATTCGCAAACAGCAGCTCTGAGAAAACAATCCACCCCGGTCTTCTGCTCGTGGGTGCAGAGAAGCACAAGGGTCTGAGCCCAGGCCCATCAGACTCCAGAGGCCCAGACGTGCAGCCTCTAGAGCAGGGCCCTGCTAGGGGCACAGGGGATTGAGCCATCGGCCTGGGATGGTATGGACAGTCTGGGTGCTGAATCTCCTTGAATGCTTCAGCTGCTGTCTTACAGCACTAAAAAGACACTCCAGGAATTTGGGAACCTGGGGAAGCAACCCTGATTTCTTGGATTAAAGAGCAGAGGGATATTTTCAATAGGCTCAGAAATTTCTAGGTATATCTACCCCTAAATTATGTACATGGCTGTTGCCTATGAAATTTGCTTTTGTTGTTTTCAAATAGTAATGGTTTCATTTTTTTTTCCTGAGTACACTATAACTAAATGAATACTAGGGAAAAATCATACACACTTACGCTTCAATACACATACTCTAAACATTGTTATAACATGCTTCCTTCACGTAATAAATCACAAACATCATGTTGAGGTCAAATATACATCTATATCACTAATTTGATAGTTGCCTATCATTTCATCCAGTAGCCAACATGTGTAATTTTTTCTTTTCTCCGGTGTTTTACTATTATGGACAGCACTGAGGGAAACAAATTGGTGCCTGTATTTGTGTGCATTCTCTGAATATTGACTTAGATTCAAGTCTCCCTAGAGGAATTGTTGGATCAAGGAATATAAGCATGTATAAAGGTTTTAAAGCACAAGGAAAATTTCTCAAAATATAATGCTACTCTAGTTTGGGTGTGGTGGCTCACACCTATAATCCCAGTGATTTAGGAGGCTGAGGCAGGAGGATTGCTTGAAGCAAGATGTTGGAGACCAACCGGGACAACATAGTAAGAGCTTGTCTCATAAAAAAATATGTTATGCTTAAGGTTGTAAGGTTGCCCAATGGAATATAAAAACAAAGAAACAGAGCCAGTGGAACATAATGGGATGTGTGTGAGAAAAATATATATATATAAAATAATATAATATAGTATTATCTTATATATATAAAAAAAACCCCAGGCTGCTGGGTTTTCCTGCCCTCCACCTCCAACAAACACAAGTTTGCTACATCTTCCTGAGTCCAGGCCTCCACCAATGCCCGTGTGGAACCTTTGTTAGCTTCTTTCAGGTCTTAGAGGAGGTGGATTTGTGTTAGCTTCATGCTGTCTCTTCCTAGCTTTTGTTAAAACACATTCAAAAGCATGCATGCACACACAAACACACATATCCACAAAGAAAACACTAGTCCGGGGACATGGTCTCTCTAGGGGTGGCATGTCATATGTGAATGTGAATATTATATCTGAATTATCGGAATGTAAAATTTCAAAGCTGCAAACCACCCTGCAGGAATGCTTATACCACTTGTGTCTGCACTTCCAGAGGCCTGCATCTTCTTAACCACAGCTGGGAGAGGTAAAGGTTTATGTGTCTCCTGAACTTCTTGACTTTCTCTGTCCCATGGATGGGAAGCCTCCTGCTGATGTCCGGTGGCTGAGTCTGCTGTGACTGTCAGCTTTGTGCATGCAGACAGGCCAGCTTACTGAGGGGGTTAACAGCAAGATTCAGTGGGAGATGGTCCTTCTTACTTTGTGGAAAACCCAAATGTCATAAACCACCTTTTTTTTTTCTGGGACAGTTTTGTGCAAAGAGGAATTTTCTAACATTTGCTTTAGCGTGTGTGTGTGTGTGTGTGTGTGTGCGTGCGTGCGCCTGGGTGTGTGCATGTATATGTGTATGTGCAAATGTGTATATTTGTGCACGTTTATGTGTGCGCATGTGTATATGCGTGTGTGTACGTGTGTATGTGTGTCTAGAGAGAACTTGCCACATGGGCTCCTCTGTGAGCAACCCGTTCTGCCAATAGGTGGGAGAAGAGAAGAGAGAGCTGAGGCCCTGTCTGGTCCTTACACAAGTGTTGACATCACCTGCCTGTTTCTCTGCCCCTCTGCTCTTCTCTATGCTTGGTGTTTCCAAATCCAAGCTTAATTTCTTCAGGGAATACACCTCCTGGAGGTGTGGTGCCCAAGGAGGCGACGGGACCTGGAGGGTCCATGGCTCCCTATAGGAACTTCCATAGGCTCCTGTCTTGTCCAGCACTCTGCAGGGTGAGGCATCTGCAGGCCACATACCTGCAACTTCCATCCCCCACTGGGTCCTCTAGGGCCCAGCCATGCTCTCCCCAGCATGTAAGTTCAATGAACTGTATTGGATGCAATTGCCACCTCTACTATTTTCTCTGTCCTCACATGGGTTATTTCCTTCCATTTTTCTTCCTTCATTGTAATTTGTAGTCGTGATTATGGAGCCATCAGAGATACATGGTCATGTTAAACCCACCAAATTTAATTTTTATATAGAAAGAGCTATCATTTTTAAGGGATGGTTGTGCCTTGGTGTTATTTTAGCTACAGGATCCTATAGATATGGCTTTGGTTAGGGTTTGGCTTGGGGTTTGAGATATGGCCCTTTTTCTGATCATGAGCAATTCTTTTGATCTCTGGAATTCTTGATTGCATTACCTTTGAAATGAGTCTGTAACAGTTTGCCCTTAGGAGGCCATTGAGAGACGAAATGAGATAATCCATGTAGAACATTCAGCCCCTTACACATGTCAAGCACTCAAGAAGGCTTAGCTAGTTTCACTTTTATAATTACAAGTACTACTACTGTAAAGACTCCAGAACTGAGTGAGAAAGCTTGTAGAAAAAATGGATTCTCATGCTCCTGAGGGTGGTGGCAAGAGACGGTGTTCTGCAGAGGCCACCACTGGACACAACAGGCATGAAGTTGCCTTCTTGTCATGTATGTGGTTGGTTCCCTGACACAGTGAAATTGTTTTCACCCTGAGTTGCTCAAAAAACCACTTAGTGCTGCAGGCTCTCCACTGGGTGTCTCTCGCTGAGGGTGTTATTCACCCAATGCTGACAATCCATGGTGACAGCCAGGGGACCGTTTTAGGTGGACCTCTGCTGCTGAGAATGCACGAAATTTATACCAAGGTTACTCCTCAAATAAAACGTGCCCTGTTAACCAGGTTTGCCTTTCTTCAAACCAAGTTTCTTACCTTTGAGATGGTGTTTATGTCTCACGCTTGGTAATTCTCATCCAGACACTTCTTTCTTAGTCATGGAGCTATTCCCTTCCTTCTTTCTGACTTTAAAAATCATTAGATATTTTAAATACTTAGTTTGATGTGGGTAAGAGGATGGAAGAGGAGAAGGAATATTTGCATTACTAACGAATGCTTTGTCTATTAAAAACCAAAGCTGCGATTGGCCTTTTTTCTTTTCTTCGATGACAAGAGTTTTGTTATGACAATGTCACTAAATTATTTGAAAAATCACATAATGAGGTATCATCAAAACTATCTTTGTCAGTTGTGATATGCAAACTAATAATTTATGTCCTTCAATTTGTTGAAGGCAAAGAAATAAAAGCTATTTGACTTAAAAATGGATGTTTTACTCAGGTAATAATTTCATTCCTTTTAATTTCTAGAAATTCAACTAGAAGGCTTTACCCAGGTATAATAAATGAATATTTTTATTGTAAGTTGACAAATTATAATTCTATATATTTGTGGTGTGCAAAGGGATGTTATGATGTGTGTGCACAATGTGGAATGATTAAATTAAACTAATTAATATATCCATCACCTCAAATACTAATCATTTTTTGTTGTAAGAACATTTAAAATTTGATATCTTAGCAACTTAAAAATGTATAATACACTACTATTAACTATAGTTACCATGTTGTGCAGATAGATCTCAGAACACTTAACATTGTTAAGTGTGCCCTTTCCTTCACATCCTCGCTTGTGATCTTCTGTCTTTTTGATAAAACAGCTGTTCTAACAGGAGTGAGGTGACATCTCATTGTAGTTTTAATCTGCATATCCCTGATGATTTGTGATGTTGAACATTTTTAAATATATCTGTTGGCTATTTATTCATCTTCTTCTGAGAATGTCTATTTGGGTCCTTTGTTCATTTTTAATGAGGTTGTTTTCTTGCTATTGAGTTGTTGGAGTTCTTCATGTATTTTGGATAGTAACCCTTTTTCAGAGCTATGGCTTGGAAATCGTTTCTCCTAATCTGTGGATTGTCCTCTTCACTGCATTCATTGCTTCCTTCACTGTGCAGGAGTCTTTTTGTTTGATGTAATACCATGTGTTTACTTTGGCTTTTGTTGCCTGAGTTTTGGGGTCAAATCCAAAAAAATCCTTGCCCAGACCACTGCCATGTAGTTTTGCCCTTGCGTTTTCCTCTCGTTGTCTTACAATTTCTAGTCTTAGGTTTGAGTCTTTCACCCATTTTGAGTTGATGTGTGTATATCAAAAATTACTGCAGCCATTATGGAAGCTGTATGGTGATTCCTTAAATAACTAAAAACAGAATGAACACATGATCTAACAATTCCACTTCTAAGTGTAGATCCAAAGATTTGAAATCTGGGCATTGAAGACACATCTGCCTTCTCATGTTTGTTGCATCAGTAATCATAGTAGTCAAGTTACGGAATCCACCCAAGAGTCCATCCACCAATGAATGGATTAAAAAATGTGGTATATGTGCACAAAAGAATACTTCTCAGCCATAAAAAGAAGGAAATCTTGTCATTTGCAGCAACGTGGATGAACTTGCAGGACACTGTGCTAAGTGAAATAAGCCAGGCACAGAAAGGCAAATACTCTCTGATCTCACTTATATGTGGAATCCAAAATAAGTTGAACTCATAGAAGTAGAGTAGAACAATGTTTATTTACCAGAGCCTGGTGGGGTAGAGGAACTGAGGAGATGTTGGCTTAATGGCTCAGTTTCAGCTGGACAGGAGAAATCAGTTTTTGAGATCCATTACTATTCACTTTTTGAAATAAAATTTTCATATGAGGGCAATTCATGAGCCATTTTTCTTGATTACCAAAATCCACTCACAATTAATCCAGATCCTTAGACACATATATGAACACTTAATTTTTGCACCCTGTTAATGATTGAAAATAAGCTTATTTTTCCATTATGTGTATACATACGCTCCCTTATTTCAATCGCTTTAGAGAATCAAGGTACCTGTGATTATAACAACGATAAATTTAAAAATTGAAATTCAGGACCATGACGTGAAAGTGGTTGTAAACTGTCACATGACTTGAGTTAACTTCCTGGCCTTTCTACTTGCCTTGGAAATTTTCTTAGTTTCTCTGGGTCTCAGTTTTCTAATCTGTGAAACAGGGATCTAGTTCATTGGCTGTGGGAAGAATAAATCAGATTCTATTCTACATTGTGCAGCACATTGCCTGGCACGTAGAAAGCAGCAAATACAGATTTCTACTTTCTCCTCTGCTTTATAACAATAATACTAAACATATTAATATTATAATAATAATGGTTATTAAAACGAAAGTTGAAATGCAATAAAATAATAAATAAAAAAATTGTCCTTGAGTTCTGGAGACATATGAAATTAATTTTATGGAATCAAAGAATGTACCCTAAAGCAGGGGTCCCTGTCTCCCATCACCCCCAGATGGGAGCATCTAGTTGCAGGAACATAAGCTCAGGGCTCCCACTGATTCTGCATTATGGTGAGTTGTATAATTATTTCATTATATATTACAATATAATAATAGAAATAAAGTGCATGATAAATGTAATGTGCTTGAATCATCCTGAAACCATGCCCGCTCCCAGTCTGTGGAAAAATTGTCTTCCACAAAACCGGTCCCTGGTGCCAAAAATGTTGGGGACCGCTGCCTTAAAGAGATACATTCATAATCCAGAGCAGCTTAAACCATATTAGGAGAGACGTGTGAAGGGCGTAGTAAATATCACGGTCAGGAAACAATTGCTGGCTTAACATATCATCCCTAAATGGAAATTCACAAGTGCACGGGCTCCTGATTTCAGGATGTGGTATGAAGTGTTCTTCTGTGTTTCATATTTCAGGATGAGACACTTATGGAGACAGTAATGATGATTTAATATTATTTAATGATTTTCCTGAGCAATGCTAAGAGGGCCAAGTAGTTGTTTAGTAAATTGAAAGTCATGAGAAAGGTCCCTCATTTTCCTAAAATTTATGACGTTTATATTTCTGTGCTCATTGATTTGTTTGCTCCACAAACACTCACTAACCAGCTTCTGCATGCGTGGTTCTACCTGACATCATGACGTTTTGCTTGATCATCACACACTCTGCAACCTCCAGGAGTTACAAAGCTGACCTAGGGTCACCTCCTGGTACAGAGAAGGTTGATTCTTCTGCAGATTTTCTGACTCTACATTCATTGTTCTTTCTAATAGAAGACAGTTATGCCTTAATGTGGTTGTATATTTTAAATTTCAAGTTTGGAGGCAGCAAAAGAAACAAAATATTTTAAAATCTTCCTTCTTTCCAAATCCCATTTTATAATTTTGTTTGCTGTTTCTTATCTGAAATCCATCTGATAAGTACTTGTTAGAGTAATGCTAATCTTACACCAATCTATGAACTGTTCAAAAAATTTTGGCCGGGCGCGGTGGCTCACGCCTGTAATCCCAGCACTTTGGGAGGCCGAGGCGGGCGGATCACGAGGTCAGGAGATCGAGACCATCCTGGCTAACACGGTGAAACCCCGTCTCTACTAAAAATACAAAAAATTAGCCGGGCTTGGTAGCGGGCGCCTGTAGTCCCAGCTACTCGGGAGGCTGAGGCAGGAGAATGGCGTGAACCCCAGGGGGCGGAGCCTGCAGTGAGCCGAGATTGCGCCACTGCACTCCAGCCTGGGCGACAGCGAGACTCCGTCTCAAAAAAAAACAAAAAAAAAAAAAACAAAAAAAAAATTTTGTTGTTTTCTAAGTTCCCATAACACACATCTCACACATCTTTAATAATAGTGAAAGAGCTTGGAAACATGATTCTGTAAAATTAAAAGCACTTGATACCTAAAAAGCATTATAAAGTAAATTTAAAATGATCTTCCGAAGAATAACAAAGGTTTCAGGGGAAACATGAATTCTAAATGGCCTTCTATTTATCACTGAACACACAAGACATAGGACAAGCCCTAAATACAAAAATAATCAGACACTTCAGCTTTACCATAGCCAGTAATGAAAAAGCTGCCAATAACATCTTCCTCTGCAGCTGATTTAGTAAAACTTTATGAAGAGAATAAATTTTATGTTTTAGTATACATGACAAGTATGTTCTAGATGCTAAAAAGGAAGACAAACAGAGATCAATGTCCTCCAACATATACCTGGATTGCATCAGCTTCCAGTTATGATCTTGTCTGGGGGGGAAGAGAAAAGAACAATGGTAATTCCTGGTCTTGATGTCAAAGAATGGACAAACCATTTCAATTCCAAAGAGAAATACTTACAGATGTACTGTGCAAAATCTTTCTGCATTTGATAAACACTCTGTAATGGTTGGCAGAAATCATCTATCTTGTGGATTATATATCCAGCACAAGGCAAACTCACTAAGAGGGTTATGCAAACAAGAATAAGGTTTCTTAATGGCTGTGTTCATTTTGATCTCTGAGATTATAAGCCAATTCCACTTTACAGCTGTACTGCTACATAGCACTCCATTTGAATTTTGCCCTAAGATAATCCTTAAACACAGTTTCAAAGCACCTTGCATCCAAATATAGACTGGAGGTTGAATAGCCCAAGATGGCAAGCAGGTCCTGTTGTGAATGATGACAAATGTAGAAATGGCACCATAGAAATGTTGAGCTCAACTGAGCCTTGGAGATTCAGCCTCTTCATGTCACAGGTGTGAACACGGAGAGAGGCAGAGTGGAATGTGAGCTCACCCTGCTGGCTTGAGGTTGAACTCTTTATTCACAACCCAGGACTCTTCGTGGGGGAACACTGGCTTTCACCCATGGTACAATTATCTGATTGGAAGTGTAAAAATCTAGGGACAAAAAGAAAATAAAATACAGACTAATCTAAATTAGTTTGCTGAGATAGCGGCTGGTCTTTGCTGACCACCAAGTTAATTATGACAGTTACCCTTCACCAAAGGCATGGGCTTGTCCTCCACCAGGTTTCTCCAGCAGAATTTGTCCTGAAAATCCAGGAAATTAATTATTGGGAAACACACATTTGCCCCCATATTCTATGTAATTTGAGTAAAAGTGGATGTGAATCTGGAAAAATAATCTGGTTGTGTTTTTAATGCATTAGATGAAGTTGTATTGGCAATGTCAGTAGAAAGCAAAGGTTGTCGGAAGCATAAAGTATGTATTTTATGTTTATAAACATTAGAGAGTTAAATATAAGTACAGTAGAATGTCTTCAAAGATTTCTTAATTCCTATATTAATGAAAGTGTTTCTCATGCTATGGGGCAGCACAGAGAGAATGTAGCTGGGTTCAGTGTTCCTGTGGACTCTGTTGGGTATTGCCAGGTTTCACTGCCTCGAGTCCCTTTTGGAACCAGGTGGAACTGCGAGTCACTCACCATAGGGCACAAAAGGCCTGTTCTTCAATGCCAAAAAAAAAAAACCACCAGTATTATTCATCAGTAGTGAGTTTATGAAAATTACTCTTACCTTAGAATCGTGTAGTATTAGAATTGGACAATCTCAAGGGATCAGTTAGTTCTCATTTTGGAGAAAAGCATACAAACCTCCAGGTGGCTACCAGACATTCCACATTCACCGAATGACTAGCAGAAACCTGGCCGGTGTGTAGCTCACCGAGAGAAGGTCAGGCTGCTTGATGGAAATGCCGTATTTCTCTAGATAGGTGCCTGTAGCCTAACCAGACATAAGCAAGCAGAGTTGAAAGTAACTGAACAGATAACCATGGTTTGGGAGGAGGCTGTGGAATTTAAAGGGGCAAATGGATGGTGACTGTTGCTGAATTAGCTCCCATAGTACGTCAGACTGAAGACTGAGGGGATGACTAAAGCTTGGCATGAAAGCTAAGATCTGTGCAGCCGATCAGCTAGGTGTAAAAGAAAGACAAGTTCCATAATGTTATTTTTTAGTTTGTTAACTGTAAATTGATGTTTAATACATTGGAGGTGCAATAGATGACATTATTATTTGTTATCCTAAATCATCATAATGTTGTTTGCAAGGTGCACACACGGAGCTCCCACTTTCCAATAATTTTCTCATTCAGTTCTGACTAAACTTATGGCTTAAGCTCTATCCACCCAATATGGCACCAATTTTCAGAAGCCACAAGACGAATTGGAGACTCAGGACTCAAATTCAGGTCATCATAACACCAAAGCATGCATCTGTAATATAGATATTATTCTATAGTATTTATATAGCATCTACTATCCTAATATCTAGCGAAAATCACGTGTCAGAAGTATCTGGGCAGCATTAGTACTCAACCTGTGCTTTAACTAATAATAGTGGCACTCACAATTTCATGCCCACCATGAATATATTTGCCTTCTAAGGGATGATGGCCTCATGTACATACAACACCCATAATATATATGTATATATATATAAAATACATATACATATATGTTAGAGAGAGAGAGAGAGAGCGTCTCACTTTCTTGCCCAGGCTGAAATGCAGTGGTGTAATCATAGCTCACTGCAGCCTTGAAACTCCCAGGCTCTAGTGATCCTCCCACCTCAGCCTCCCGAGTAGCTGGGACTCCAGGCATGCACTACGGGGTCTCACTATGTTGTATAGGTTGGTCTCAAACTCCTGGGCTCAAGCAATCTTCCCACCTCAGCCTTTTGACATGCTGGGATTACAAGCATGAGCCACTGCACCCAGCCAGCCACGCATACTTTTGAAATAATTTTATTTTTCGAGATTTGCCGACACAGATTCAAGAATGCATTTATGATTCCGGGTAAAGGGCAAAACTAATGCAGTCTTGAGATCTATTTTTCTGCAAATCTTGGGGAAAAAGCTATTTATGCATTTACACTGTCATCGATCGATAGTGAAAACTACTCTGCTATGAGTTCAGGCTCCTCAGTTTCAAGAGGGAGTAGACAGCCACTGAGGACAGTGTGCCTGGAGCACCAGGAGTCTGCCCACCCTGCCCACTCATGCGCTGGTCTTCCCAGGTGACAGGCACAGGTCTGGCACCCCCAGTCTTGTATCTCTTACTAGAAAGGTGTCTCCTCTGCAGAAGCCCTAACCTAGTAGCATTCACTCATGCATTAGCACACCCAGTGTTGTTTATTCAGCGTGGTCTTAAAGATAAATATGCCACCCAGCTCTCACCCTACCACCAGTTAAGAAGTCAATGCCAGCACTCACGCATTTAAAACGATATGTAAATTGATGTTTTGTGTAGCGGGTGGTAGTGACCTCACAGAGCAGGGTCTGTAGGAATCGGGCTCATAGAAAGCTCCTGTGATTGGAAGATAAGCACAGGAGAAAGTCCAGGGGTGGGCACTTCCTGATTAAATGGAATAGATAAGGCGAGGGTCTAAAATGCCATCAAACGGCGAAAAGCACCCGGTTAGATGAACATCTCTGAGAGTTGCAATTAAAATGAACTTTTGGCTGAGGGACGTCCAGAGGGGAGGTCATGCTGACCCCACGTTCCGTCCTCTGGCCTGGGGACAACACTTTTGAACACGTAAGAAGAGGGTCCTGGGATGTGAGTCACGTGTGGACTTTAGAGATCCCAGTTTTGTTTCTGTATTCGCTTCAACAAATATTTCACAATAAACATTTCCAAGGACAGCCCCAGCGCCGGGCTCTGCCTGGCCTTGCAGGGTGAAGAGCAGCCTCTCATTCCCCAGGGAACAAGCGGCACTGAGGGAGTGGGTGCAAAACGGCTCTCGGTGGGGACAAAGCCTGGCCCCACCTGGACTGGAAGGCCTGAGAGTCTGTGGCTGCCTTGACCTGCCTGAGCCTCGCGGGGCCCAAATGCCTAGTTGTGAGTTCTTCTGCTTCCCGCAGGTAAGCCCCTACCCAGCTAGAGCCCTATCAGCCCGACCAGCCGCCCCCACCTCTTCCTCAGCCTGCCAGTCTGTGCAATTCTTCAAACAAGCCAGTCACGTAATCCAGTGGGCAGGAGCCAGGGGCCCCCGCCTCTTGTCATACAAAGCCTGCCCCCCACAGCCCAGCTGGCTTACCCTGCTCCCCTCCCAAGGGCAGCCCTCATGGGGTGCGGCTGGTCCTCCCCTGGGCGGAGGGCTATGGGACTCACACACTGCTGTCCATCTCCACAGCCCACGCTGGTGCAATCCATGCTCAGCCAGCAGGACTTCAGAGGAATGGAGACCCCCTCACCACTAGGTGCATAGGAGGGGATCCGTCTCCCACCCAGGGAAGGAGGTGAGGATGCTGAGAAGCTCTCTGTCTAGGACTTTGATTCCTTCATATTTCCCATCATATCTTCTCTTTGAAGGGTTTTCATCACTTCAGGGTGATCCCCAAATTGTTCTGGTCATCGCTACACTTCAAGAAAGATCTCAGAAAATAGTATAGTATCTGTAACTATAGCTCTGTCTCCTTGAAATAAATGCACATTTTTCAAATAAGCTTGTAGATATTTAGATTTCCCAGAGCACGTAACTCACGAATTACAAGTCATTCACCAAGACTGAATCTAATCGAGGTAGTTTGCAAGCAAGAAGGAACAAAGCACCCAAAACCTCATTCATGGCATCCGTCATTGCCAAGGTAGATCTCGTTCATTTCCACGCACAGTGTGCCATGTGGAACGCTGGCCACGCCATGGAACAGGTGCCTCCCGGTTGTGGAAACCTTCACCAGAGAAGGTGAGAGCCAAGGAGGGGAGACGCTTGATTTGCGTGCAGATGTGTTTTCCTTCCATTCTGTCTCCTGTGCTCTGAATAGAACAAGATCACCTAGCCTCTGAGGAGAGTGCTTTGTCTTTCTTCAAGAAGAGGACTTGGTGCTGTTTTATCCTGCTTCTAGCTGCTTCTCCGGTTAGCTTTACAGAGCTGGATTATCCGTAACAGTTCTCGTGGAAACTTTGAATACATTTGCTGACGACCTCGTGTACTCACTTCTCAATCTCAGCATCACATCTCGACATTCCAGAGTGAAGTTAATCATGCCAATTTCCAGGAGTTTGCTTCCATGTGTGGTTCAGGTAATATCTAGGTAATAGCCAGGCTTCAGATATATCCAGGTAATATAAAGCTCAGTCAATATCCAAGCTTCAGGTGTATCCAGGTAATATAAAGCTCAGGCAATATCCGAGATTCAGGTATATCCAGGTAATATAAAGCTCAGGCAACAACCAAGCTTCAGGTATATCCAGGTAATATAAAGCTCAGGCAATATCCGAGCTTCAGGTATATCCAGGTAATATAAAGCTCAGGCAATATCCAAGCTTCAGGTATATTCAGGTAACATAAAGCTCAGGCAACAACCAAGCTTCAGATATATCCAAGCAATATAAAGCTCAGGTAATATCCAAGCTTCAAGAAGCTGTGTGCTGGTTTAACTGTGCAGTGCATGTGGTGGAGCTGGGTGCCACCCCTGAAAGGTGCTTCGCGGGGCCAGTGACTCAGCACAACAAAGACCACAGCTTTCCTGGGGGAAAGATAAGAAGTCCAGGAGAGCTTTCTCTTCACTCTGTGTCTGCCAGGCACACTTCCGTGCAGATGTGGAGCTAGGGTGATGAGCTTGTCAAGGCAGAGAGAGGAGAAGTGCTCGAATCATTAGGCAGCACCCCAGTTCTCATGGGTGAACAGACTTTGATTTTACTGAGTATAATTCACATAGCATGAAATGCACCCTTCTAAAGTGTACATGTCAGTGGTCGTTAGTGTAGTAACAAGATGATGCAACTATCACCACTACCTGACTCCAGGACATTCTCGTCACCTCCAAAAGAAACCCCACGCCCCTCAGGTGCCACTGCTCACTCCCCCTTTTCCCTCCCTCAGCACCTGGCAACCACTTTAATTCATGTTCTGTCTCTGTGGATTTGCCCATCCTGGGCATTTCATTTGAGTGGGACGGTGTGGTGTGTGGACTGGGCATTTCACATGAACGGGACTGTGCAGTGAGTGGACTGGGCATTTCATATGAATAGGACTGTGAGGTGTGTGGACCTTTGTACGTGGCTTCTTTGTCCAAGCATCCTGTTTCCGAGGCTCATCGACGTTGAGTGTGGGTCAGTGCCGATGGGATATCAACTGAGAGGCGCGTTTTCCTCAGGGCTCTCTGGTGTGGGCCCCTCCTGCAGTCTGGCTCTGGTGGGGGGGACGTGGCTGGGCTCCTGCTGGACACTGTGGTGCGCTGTCTGGAGGGGTTTCCAGTGGCCGTGGGGTGCTGCTGTGCACGCCAGGGAACCCGGACCCCTCCTGGCTGCAGGGACTGAGTTGTGCATGAGCACACTGCATAGTAAGCTGATCAGTTGAATTCTTGGAGTAGTCAGCTAAACTCCTTCATACCCTAACAATAATAGCAATAATAATTTCCCCCTCTTTAACTTATTCCTACTGCAAAGTAGAGCTTACATAATAAATGATGTACTGTAGCCGCAATTTCTATTTACGGGAGTTTCAGTAAGAATGGAGATCATTTTGATTTTGGCCTACGGGGAAGGGCTCTGTGCTGAGGCGACACTGAAGGCACACGTGCTTGCTGGTTTTTACTCTCCAAACCTTGTTACAATGCAAAATTAAAATTTAGAAAAAATAGATTTTTAAGTATATTATAAATTATTTTATTCTCTCTATATAATTTGAGACTAATAAATTATACATAATAAATTATGTATACAAGTATATATATTTTAATTTAAAATAGTTTCATTAACTTATATACTGAAGTTAAATTAACTAACTTCTATGTATAATCTATTATTATTTGATACACACACATATGGAGAGTCACACATAGAAGTACTAGGAATTCAGGAAATCTTCAACTGCTAAAATTTAAGGATGAGAAAACTCTGGAAGCTTTAAAGCAGAAAAGTTCAGGTATGAAACAAAAGTCAGAAACACAGAGAAACTTACAGCTCCACAAAGGCAAAAGAAGAGGAGTTCTCCAAACGTGAATTTTTTCTTCAGAAGCCCAAACTCAGTTTCCAATACTCCAGGGAGTGCAGGGAGAGGGGCTGGAGAAAGGTGGCTCAGGGGTTCTGGACAGACACACTCAGGGCAGGGCCGGCCGGGCTGTTCAGGACCCACACAGCTCGGAGGGTGATGCTCATGGTCGGCAAACTGTCTACAGCCCCAGAAAATGCCTTCACATAGAAGGGAGGTTGTGAAGGGACTCCACTGTGTGGATGGGGTGGAGAACACCCTCTAAACCAAATCACATGTCCAGGAAACAAGTATTTGGGAATCTCCAGGAAACAGGTGTTTCGAAACCTGGAGTCAATTTTATCTGTGCGTTCTAAAAAGTATGAAATGCTACCCAGCCACCCACCCACATATCCCTTCTCTTTCCTGAATAGCCCCAAAGTATTCCCGGAAAGGGCAATGGGAACTCACATCTAAGCTGGGGAAATGAACCCTAGAGACCAATGCTGATCAATCCAGACCCTGAAATGTGAATGGGAATCAGTAACCAAGGATCAATAGCTCGCCAAGGAAAAGGAAAATTAGTAGGGTAACAGAGCGAGGGCTGTGTGTACATGTGCATACACTCACACCCACTCCTGTGCACACACTGTGCACACACCACACACATTCACACATACACAGGCCACAATTAACCATCTCTGAGAAACAGTGTTAACAAAGGAAACAAATGGAAACATTAAAAGAGCTTCATTTGTATTCTTATAGTAATTTGAGAGAGCATCACACGTGTAAAAGACAAATTGTCTTGAGAAAGAAGCTGCCAGAATCCCCAGATCCTGATATTTATGGTGATTTTTGCATTCTTCTTTATGACATCCGGGGTCTGAAATATTCTACTGTGCACATGCAATCCTTTCATTTTGGAAAATGGCATGTTTCTTTTTTTTTTTTTTTTTTGAGACGGAGTCTCGCTGTCGCCCAGGCTGGAGTGCAGTGGCGCGACCTCGGCTCACTGCAAGCTCCACCTCCCGGGTTCATGCCATTCTCCTGCCTCAGCCTCCCGAGTAGCTGGGACTACAGGCACCCGCCACCACGCCCGGCTGATTTTTTTGTATTTTTAGTAGAGACGGGGTTTCACCTATTAGCCAGGATGGTTTCGATCTCCTGACCTCGTGATCTGCCTGCCTCGGCCTCCCAAAGTGCTGGGATTACAGGCGTGAGCCACCGCGCCTGGCCTGAAAATGACGTGTTTCTTATTAAATGAAAGAATATGTCAACATAGAAGCGCTCTGTGGTTGGGTAAGTTTAGGAAAGCATCACGTTTTCAGGTCACAGAGTTTATCCCAGTATTTTATATTTTACCTACTAGTCTAGGATGTTTGGCTCATCCAGGGTTTATCTGGCTTCCTAGGGATGCCGTACCAAAGTGGAAGAGCCTGAGCAACAGGGATTTATGTTCTCACCGTTCTGGAGGCTGAGATTTCAAAGCCAAGGTGTCATCTGCTTAGCTCTTCCTAAGGGCTCTGCGGGACCACCGCCCGTTCTTGGCCCCTCTCCTTGGCTTGTGGACAGCTGTCTTCTCCCTGCGTCTCTTCACATCTTCTTCCCTCTATATTCTAAAGAGTGTCTGATAGTCCACATCTGTCTGTCCACATTTTTTTTTTTTCAGAAGAACCTCAGTCATATTGGACTAGGGCCTCCTCAGTGGCCTCATTTTAACTTGATTACCTCTGTAAAGATCTTGTCTCAAAGCAAGGGCATATTCTGAGGTACTAGGGTTTGGGATTCTAAAATATCTTTTTGAGGGGACACAATTTGACCCATAACAAGGATATTTAAATGTTGATAGAACTTTCAATTAAGTAAGAGTAGTTATGATCACATGCCAGTTCAATCATTGGCTACACTAAAGAGTTTATTTTATTTTATTCTATTTTCCTCTATTCCCCAAAGCTAGTGATTTTAGCATTATTTTCCAAACTTAGCCACTATGAGCTATGCAATAAAGCAGTGGTAAGAGGTCCATAGCCTGTGGTTGTGGCTGGTTGGAGACATGAACGACATTTATCCAAGAAAGTCACTCAAGAAGAGAGATATTTACAGTATCCTGAAGGCCTCAGCCACTTCGGAATTCATGAGAGAACAGTTGAGGCTGGTTTATTGTGGACACACTTTAATTTGGTACACCAGAAATCAAATTAGGACTTTGGTAGGCTTTGCTTCTCAGGTACTAAGGAATAAGTTATTTGTTATTGATTTATCTGCCAGATAGAGAGGATTGTTACTGCAAAACTTCACAGCACCAAGAACTTCAAGGATAAGAGTAGAGCACCGAGAATAAATGATGGATGGTGCTGAAACGAATTTGAGTATTTCCCTGAATCTTAAATATTTGGTCAGATTTCTTCAGGTTCTATTACAAAATCCTAAATACATGCTGAATCTTCTTTTATAGCCTTATCATAATTTAATATTTTAATTTATAGTAACTATACAATATTTGGCTTGGTGGCTTTTGTGAAAGAGAATGAAATAACTTACGGTTAAAACATAGTTTTTGGCTGGGCACAGTGGCTCATGTCTGTAATCCCAAACTTTGGGAGGCCGAGGTGGATGGATGACCTGAGGTCAGGAGTTCGAGGCCAGCCTGGGCAACACAGTGAAACCCTGTCTCTACTAAAAATACAAAAATTATCCTGGTGTGGTGGTGGGCGCCTGTAATCCCAGCTACCTGGGAGGGTGAGGCAGGAGAATCACTTGAATCCGGGAGAAGGAGGTTGCGGTGAGCCAAGATCATGTCACTGCACTCCAGCCTGGGTGACAGAGAGAGACTCTGTCTCAAAAAAAACAAACAAGCAAACATAATTCCTATTTTGTCTCCTCCAGTATGCAGTTCATTTTAAAACTCCTCTCTCCCCACTCCAACCATGCAGTTTGCCTGGGGATACTTGTCCAAACCATAATATCTTTTACCATCCTCAACCAAAAGGAAAGATAACACAGGTTGGGAAAATCTGGGTTCCTATTCCACTATTCTCCAATTCAAAACCCCAGAAACGATAGAAGATGGAAATATTCAGTTCTTTACAGGCAGGCATTTCTGCTCCCTTCTGAAAGTTGCAGTTTGGGCACTTGCCTTAATAAAAGTGTCTTTCTTGAGCCGGGCGCGGTGGCTCACGCCTGGAATCCCAGCACTTTGGGAGGCCGAGGCGGGCGGATCACGAGGTCAGGAGATGGAGACCATCCTGGCTAACACGGTGAAACCCCGTCTCTACTAAAAATACAAAAAATTAGCCGGGCGTGGTAGCGGGTGCCTGTAGTCCCAGCTACTCAGGAGGCTGAGGCAGGAGAATGGCGTGAACCCGGGAGGCGGAGCTTGTAGTGAGCCGAGATCGCGCCACTGCACTCCAGCCTGGACGACAGAGCGAGACTCTGTCTCAAAAAAAAAAAAAGAAAAAAAAAAGTATCTTTCTTGAAAGCTAATTTGATTTAGGCCTCCCTCACTTACAAACAAATAAGCCATTAATACAAATACAATGGACACAGTATATATGAAAAACATTACTTAAGTGGTACATTATATAAAATATCCTCAAATAACTGCACAAACTGCCTAAGAATATTGTTTCTTATATTTTAGAATTTAAAATCAAGCCAAGAGAAATTTCACAATCGTTTAATAATTTGCCCACCATGTTCCTCTCATTGTCTCAAATATTATTTTCCAATGTGACATTGGTATAACTAAGTAAAGGTCCTTAATTTCGTCATTAGACGAGCTGCTTTTTACACAGAAAGTTCTTGGATTTGATTAGATTCTGAGGGTGGCAAAGAGTTGTAAAGCAGAAAGTGACATAAATTTTCCCCAGAGGCAAAAGGAAATGGGATGTTCAAAGAGCATGAGCTTCCCTTAGTCTTGATTCCCCCGTTCCCCCACCCTATTTTCACAATTCGGACTTCTTAATTTTTTTTATAGATTTATAGGCAACTGGAAAACCAACTCCTTCTATAATCCGCCTCCAGTCTAGGTTCTGTAATACATCTCATAACTGATTGATTAGATGGTGAGAAAGGAAATTTTTACAAAGTGCCTAATACGCACCAATGCTAGACAACGCAATTTACATATATTATCCATTTTAAGCTAAATAATAAACTTGGCCAAACTATTAAGATTATTGTTTTACAGATGAAGAGCATGACATTGGAGAAACTAAGAAAACTGGCCAGGCTCACACAGTTAGTGAGAGCCAGGTTTTGGATGCCTGGCTTTCATGCATCAGAGTGCATGCTGTTTCTCCTCTTCTCTGCTGCCTTCCCAAGTGGGAGAATTTTCATTTTTGAGAAACGTTTAGAAAATTCTGAACAGTTAGAATCTGTTTCAATGCCAATGAATTCTTTTGGAGATTGGTCATTCTACTTACGTGGAGAACCTTCCCCTGAGGCTCTGTTTATCACTTCTGTATTTCTACTGGTCTCATCTCCAGGCACCCTGCTGAGGTGACTTCAACTCTGCACATTGCTTTCCCCTAAGCCCCTAAGAGGCAGTTCAGAATCACTATTACCACCATCACTACCACCATCACCACCATCATCACCATCACCATCACCACCACCATCATCACCATCACCATCACCACCAACATCATGACATCACCACCATCACCACCACCATCACAATCATCATCACCATCACCATCATCACTACCACCACCATCACCACCACCACCATCATCACATCACCACCATCACCACCACCATCACAATCAACATCATCATCACCATCATCACCACCATCATCACTACCACCACCATCACCAACACCATCACCACCATCACCACTACCACCACCATCACCACCACCACCACCAACACCATCACCACCATCACCACTACCACCACCATCACCACCACCACCACCATCACCATCACCATCACCACCATCACCATCACCACCACCATCACCATATCACCATCACCACCACCACCATCACAGTCAACATCACCACCATCACCATCACCATCATCACCATCACCACCACCATCACCATATCACCATCACCACCACTACCATTACCACCACCACTACCAATACCAACACCACCACCACTAATACAATCACCACCACCAATATCAACACCAATGCCATCACCACCATCACCCACCACCACCACCACAGTAACAAGAATGGTTTAATGCATGGTTTTCATCCAGTGGACTCAGATTTTGAATAACCTTCAACCCAATGAGCAACTGAGCATTGTTTACTCTTCATTCATTTGTATCTCACCTTGCCTGGGCCACCAACAATTTAAAGAACAATCAAAGTCCTTTATAACATATTTCCACTTTATGTAAATATAATTCATATGTAGCATGAATTCTTTAAGGGCCATCCTGATTCACGTCTTTGCATATGTTTTATTTTGTGCATTTTCAGTTCTCACTCTCTTTTTATTATTAAGAGAGTTTCCTCTTCCTCCACCTGACATCCCTCACCCTATAACTAGTTATGATCTAAGATAATTTCTTTTCATGAATACTTTGTTTTGTGCTTTGTGTTGGAATAGCCAAAAGTAAAATCAATTCTTCCTTGACTCATAATGACAACCTACCAGAGAAGAATTTCATGGGTCCTAAAAAAAGAGAGTTCCAAGTGTTCCCTGGGTATACCATTTTTTCTTGTTTTTCAGTAGAGTCTTGGAAAAAAGTTATTTGCCCAGTGGATGATTTAAGTAAATGTGTTCTTGTACAGCATAACTAATTAGCTAATAGGTAGTAGATTAGCAAAGTAAAGCCACCTTCCTCTCATACAATGTTGAGGACATTCCAATAACTTTAGTTGATCTGAGTGCATGGTCACCTGGCTCCATGTGTGGGAAGTCTGGCAAGCTGGCCTCCCACAGGAGAATCGTGGTGTGGCATTTATGTCTCTCTTCCCCTCATTTTCTTATTAAGAATGTAGCAAAACAACAACATCAACACACACCCCTATACCGATATGGTTCACAGTATTGGATGCTAAGTACAGGCGATCCTTCTTCCCATGCTTTAGAACCAGCATTTGCCATCAGCCAAGAGGCAGAAACACTGAGATGTGCTTTCTGAGTTGTCTTAGAGTAGACAGCAGGTTCTCTTAGAGGATCCTGATGCAATTGTGACCTTAGTAAGGACTCAAGATACAACCATGCCCCTTGGCCCCTGTAAACAGTCATTTTCTACCTCCCACGCTGTGATTTCAGTCAAATAAACAATGAAGTCAGATCTGTCAGAGAGTTCATTTGGCCAGTGTTACCTTTGCTTCATAAGGAATAAAACATGATGCTTTGTTTGTGCCAAGGAGAAGACAAAGGGATGCATCTGTTAGGTGGCTACATATATAATAATCCACTATTTAAAAACAAGTCCTTCTGGCATACCTCACAGACCCAGATAATTTCCCAGGCTAAACTCAACGTTAACATTAATAAAAGACAAAACGGAAGGTCCTAAAGCAGCATCTGCAGGACTAGACCTAGATAAAGACAGTTAATTATGCTCACAGATATTTATTACCTCAAAGTGTCTAAATAAAATGTAGCTCTTAAACTATTATCCAAGTAAGCCCAATGATTTTAACTGGCTCTTTTTACTTTGTATTGATAATCTGTAAAGAAAAACATACATAAGCACAATTTCTCAAAACACAACCAATACCAGCAAACATAATTTCTAAATGTAAAGAGCATCCTGAAAACTAATGATGAACTCATTTTCTTAGGTGGTGTGACCTTCGTGAGAAGAAAGCTTTGAAAGAGTATTCACCACAGACAATGCAAAACTTCGGAGTTTTTTATGAAAATTAAATGGTTTGTCCCCTGAAGAATCAGCATTAAAACCCTTTTATGCACTGGCATAAAAAATTAACCTTAACAAATAAAACTAAGCTGTGAATCATTTATCTTTGCTTGTCTCTTTGATTACTGTATATTAATTAAGATGTGAATTACTACTTGAAATAAAAGGATGCCTGGAATCCAAAAAGAATGAAAAATGCAGGCTGATGTAAGGAGACAATGAGCAGGGTAATTCAGGAAGCAATTGAAAAATGAATGTTTACTTTTAATGTTTTACTTTGCTATTTTCCTTAAAAGAAAATCTATATAAATTTATATTGTTTGCACTCTGCTGTTCTACGATAGTTGAAAACAGTTGTTCGACTGCACTGGTCTTTGAACGCTTAGATGGCAGGGCTCAATAATCTGTCTCAGCCCAGGTTAAGTGATGGAATTCATTTAAATGCCCCAGAAGTAATCATCCACAAAGAGTACATTATTTCTCTTTTATGAATTTTCAAACCTAATACTGATGGGTGGCATGCAATTAAACCTGATCAATATGTAATTTAGGTGGGCTGACATGTTTTCAAATTCTCAGAATATAGATTCTTTCAATATTGCAAGAGCTTAGTGAAATACTTAGCTTTTATAAAATAGCTGAAGCAGTTTAGTACAGTACGGAAAAAAAGGATAAGTTTAGCCAGAAGATATACAGGGAAGTAATTATACTTGGAGAGTTTAATTTCTGAACAGAAACCATAATTGGTAAACAAAGAGTGCCCGGGATCCTGTCTGCTCTTTCTACCTCCCTCTTACCTTCTCTCTTCTACATAAGAGAAGCAAGAAAGGCAATCAGCAGTATTTGGTAAAGTACCATGTTAGCAATTTTCATGTACAAATACTTTCAAAAGCAGTATAAATACTAATTACCAGATTGTCAAAACCACATTATTACATTTACTCAAAAAATTTTACATTAATGTATTACATTAATACATTTAGGTATTACATTAATACATTTATAAACATAAATGTACTACATTAATACATTTATAAACGTAAATGTACTACATTAATACATTTATAAATGTAAATGTACTACATTAATACATTTACTCACAAAGTTTTATTACCCAGAATCAAAGTGAGACCAAAAAAAAAAAAAAACCCAGACCCCATGGAGGGGTGGGATTACCATAATGACCCTTTGTGTTACGCTAATAAACAAGGGAAGTACATTGGCTTGTGACCCTAAAGGTGAAGGGGGACGCTCACTGGTATTACTAATTAGCCTGCTGTCATCCACACAATGAGAATTACACTTGAGTTCCTATGATTTGACAGGATTCAATTTTAAATTTCATGCCTGAGGTCTTAAAGTGCTCTTTCACCCCTGCATTTGCATGTTATCCATGGCCAATCAAATACAAACAGGGCTTTATGTTTGTGGAAGCCGGTGGGAAGCAGAGATGCATGAGGCTGGCCCTGCAGGGCCCTGCCACAGCACCGTGCACCTCAGGGAGCTGGGTTTCCACACAGGCCTTGTCACACAGCCAGAGCTTTTCGTCATGGGGAGTGTAGTATTTTCTGGACTTCCATCCACGGACAGTGTTTTTTTTTTTTTTTTTTTTTTTTGGTCAAATGTGTGCTGAATGTTCATTAAGCCCACTCCTCTTCCTTGTGCAGATGATTTGCTTAAATTGGATACTCCTGACTGTGGGGACAATCCCTCTTCCCCTGATTTCTTACTCAGAGCAGAACCCCGTGCCAACTCCCATTCACTGTGTTCAGGGAAACTTGTTTTCCAGTTACTCTGCACTAGTTCAGGACACTGCCCGGGGTTGAGACCACGGAAGCTTCTCTCCTTCAAGGGATGGTGCGTAGGGAGAGCCTCCAGCATCCATGATTCATTCGCTACTTTAAGACCAAGGAGATTCATGCTGGTACTTACTAGATGAACATTACCCATCCACAAATATGCCCTTTCCAATTCAATTTTCATAACATCATTGAGTAAAATGTTAGCTCTATTTAAATCACACTTCCTCTTGAAACTTCATACCTTCTGCCCTGAAGTTGGTAAACATTCTTATGTAATAAAAGAAGTATCCACCCCTCATCCCGTTTCATTTAAATGAACTCCCTGGTAAGAAATTAGGAAGAACAAAGTCACAACTTTGCATAAGCCTCAGTAAACAAAAGGACCCTCTGCAATTCATCCTCACACCCTCAAATAAACGCTAATGTGTTACCTTGGATGTGCCTTGCAGAAATGCCTGAAGTGATGTGGAGGGAGAGGCTTTCTCTGAGCTATTTGCTGGTCACTGGGACAGAAATGACAAAGGATTCTGTCCATTCGATTTTCAATACAGTGCTCAATAGTAGCTGGAAATTGATGGTGTAACTGTGGCATCGCATTGAGGAAACTTATGATGCGGACAGTAGCACTTTCAATAAAACGGCTTTTGATTTTCTATGTGTCAAACGTTTTAATATTAGGGCATTTCTAGGTCAATGAAGGGTTAATGTAGCATCATAAATCATATCTAAACAAGAGCCCTAAACTTGCTATGAGTGGAAAGTAGTCTTTTCCACTCATTTTCAGGTCAAAAAAAATCATCCAAAAAAGTCACAAAATGTAAGTAGCTAAAGCAAGGTGGAAACCACATTTATTTCATTGCCCCCATACAGACATCGACATAGCATACTAAGGAGAGTGAATAATAGGTGAATTAGAAATTAATGATTCTCTGCAATGTAAATGGCAATTAAAGGGCATGGGCTGCTCCAGGCTCGGTCCAAAGCCCGTCTCCATTTATTTGGTTGGCAACTCACAGCATATGTAAATGTTGCAATTGAGCTCCGCTACGTCTTTATTGAAAGCTATCATCTTCTGTCCACTTTAACCCCACCAAGTACACTTAACATTGCATCTATTCACTCACCTTTACAATAGAATTTCCAGCATTACAGTGTTTGGCTGATCTTTTGGTATGAATAAATAATGATCACTCCAACAAGCCACAGCCCCACACATGACACCCTTGATGTTACGAAGCAGCAAAGCTCAATGATTTACATCGATTATAATCCTACACGGCAAAGTGTTGCCTGGCAAAGCTACGTCGTTGCTGTTATTTGTGGGATTTTTTGGTCTGAAATGCTCAAAAAGAGCTATTCTTGCAGAAGGTGTAAAATGGTTAAGTTTTTAACTCATTAAAAAAAAGAAAATGAAACCTTTTCACCACCATTACGTGCAAGTGCAATTAAAAAAAGATGACAAATTCAATAAGATTTAATGAAGAACAGAAGGAATGCAATGAAAGAACACTTTTCCCATTTTGTTTGTGCTTTTACTCTAAACTAGCCACATATATCACACCTTGTATAGAGATTGTTTTCAGAGAACAGAGCCATTTAAACACCCTTATCCAGAGGGAAAAGATCACACAGCAAAGCCCCTGTCTTCATGACACACCAGAGTCTGCAGAGTGGGGGAGAGACACAGGGCCACCCTCTGTCATGAGGTCCCAGCTCCTTAAAAATCATGCAAACAAAACCCCAACAAGCCAAAACAAACCACAACTCCGAGAGCAATGTAAACTTAGGCACAATTTGTCACTTAAAATCTGCAAATCCCTGCAATATTCGGTGCTAGCCTGTGAAACAAATGGGTTTCTGGGAGGGAAAGCTGCATTGACAAACCCAGCAAAGAGCAATTTTCTGTCGTTTAATGAAGGATGGAGAAAGGGCTTGGTAAAGTACCCGCTCATTACAAGTTTGTTTTTGTATGTGTGTCTGGATGGCCCACAGAGAAAATGTGCCTGTGTTGATGAAGAGGTAAAATCTCCCAGTTCAATCTTCTTAGACAAGTTGGAATTGTTAAAAGCAATCTTATTTTATTGGGAATTCATTTGGACAGTACCGAACAAAGAGACAGCTGAAATAGCAGCCTGTTGGCATTTCTTTTTAGCTAAAATAATAAAAAATATTGTAATTGTTAGAGAGTTTTACACTTTCAACTCTAATGTATAGCATTAAAACGATGTACATATAATTTTAGAATTTATAAAATACCCAATTAATTTAATTTCTAGCCAGTCATACATATACATGAAATGTGCTCTATATAGCTACATAATTTCCATTCTAATCTTCCATATTAAAATACATAAGAAAATGATGGATTATATTACCCCTATGACTGTTATATTAATTTTGTTATTTGTAACAACAATTGAAATCATCAAACAAATAAGGAAATTTCCAAATTTAGATAGATAAAAATTAAAATTGAATACTGCTTAGTTGGATCAAAGTTCTAGAAATCAATCACATGGAATCAAAATATGTTAAAACTTAAAAAAACTTGACTATATAAATTAGTTTAGTTAACTTAAAACCATGAAAAGGATCAGACATTTTTTCTTATTTTAACAACTGAAATTGTAAGGAAACAGGATCACAGGGAGATGGGTGCTGAGCAAAGCTGTCAGGAGATGCTTCTTAGTGATACCGAAAGGGTTGTCTTAGCGCCTGGTACTTGATAAGGTTATTAAGAAGATACGTTGACACAGCATGCACACACGCACACACACATACGATTCTGGAATAATCTACGTATCGTCTAAACACAGTTATGTGGATTCAGGCATGAATAGCAAGTTCTGATGACACTGTCTTGCAAAACCCTGGTCTAGCGGACGGAGTTTCCTACTGAAGGCGCCTTCTCTCTCCCTGTGAATGTGAAGTGCACTGTCTGCTTCTTCCTGCCACAGCGAAAATCTATCGGCAACTGCTTAAAATTTAGGGCTTTTCTATAGTCCACTTTTTCTTTCAGTTTTAACCCTGGTGTGCTGCATTTTTGAGGCTCCTGTTCCTGCCCCTTACCAGGGACCCACTGTCTCAAGCGAGGATGCCCCTCCCCTTGTGTCTGGGTTGGAGGGCTGGCCACCTGACATTTCAACCCGCAAAGGACCCAGTGTCTCAAGTGAGGAAGCTCCTCCTCCTGTGTCAGGGCATAAGGGCTGGCCGCTTGGCATTTCAACCTGCAAAAGGCCTGTTTTCAGGACCAAGTCCAGAGTCAGAGAGAACCAGGGCACGCCACTGCCGTGTACTGCCTGAAGCCGAGCCATCCGCTCATGGCAAACGTTAGGGGCCACAGACGGAAGGTCTTCATGCCCCCACCAGAAGGGTTTTGTGTGGCTTATATAATTTTTTTAAAAAATTCAACTAGCATTTAAACATTGGGATGTTTTTATATACATGTATGGATTTTTAGCTTTTATTAAAAATATGTGGATCTGGCCATATTGTGTTCTCATTGTGCAGGGCACAGTGGGCTGCGGTCCAGCCATACGGCTCCTTGCAGGTGGTGCAAACTCCCTCCAGCTTCCCATCCGCTTCTGCTCACCCCAGGCTCTGCAGGGCCTGTGAGCCACCCAGCTCAGGCCCTCAGAGGGAACCTTTGGCTCTGTAGGAAACTTTTTGTGGCAACAAGGGAATGGACAGGAAAATACAAAGAGAAAGGCTTCTTTTCTAATGGAAGTACTCTATTAATTTAATTTTACTATCTTTGAACACCATTATTTTCTAAGATAAGTAGGGATCACAGTATCTTAATGAATCAAGTGTTCACATATTAATTCCCATCTCAGTCACCAGAACGGTATTGACTATGTCAGGATATGCAACACTCTAGAACGTCTAAAATGATTAAGCCCCCAAGTGGGAATTTAACTGAATGTATTATAAGCTTTTGAAACTTCAAATGTGTACAGTTGCCCCCGTATCCATGGGAGACAGTTTCCAGGAACCCCTGGAGATACCAAAGTCCACACATGCTCAAGTTCCTGATATAAAATGGTGTAGTGTCTGCTCATAATCTGTGCACGTCTTCTTGTTCACTAGCATCAACTCTAGGTTATTTATAATACCAATTTCAGGGTAAATGCTATCTAGTTGTTTTCTGGATTGCCTAGAAAATAACGGCAAGAAAAGTGTCTGGACATGTTCTGTACGAATGCAATTATTTTTTTCTGAATATTTTCAATCTTGATTGGTTGAATCTATGGATGGAAAATCCACAAATACAGAGGACTGACTGTGCATTGAAAACATTTTCAGCAAACAGTAAAAATTACCAGTGTCCTAAAGTGTTAACACATGAGGTTGTACTCTTAAATAGATTAATGATTATTTCCTTATAAATGTCAACTTTATATATTCTGACATATATTTTTATAAATGATGATGTTAATGCTTTTATTAGGTGCTTTTTTCTTAATTTCAAGGCATCATCAATCATTTGCAAAGAAGTCTCAAAAACAGAGAAGGTTAGGTGTGACCCATCAGGATTTCCATATGCAAGGAGATGAGTTAGATAAGTGCATAAACATGCAAATCATGAATGGGAACAAACAGATGATGTGGGGAAAGGCAGGAGGGCTGACTGTGGGGTTCTCTGGGCAGGGTGACTTCAACTGGGCTGTCAGAGCCATTTGGCATGGTCTCAGAACACACACACATAATGCATAATCTCCCTTCATGTCAGATTAAACTTCAAGGTGCATCATGAACAACATAAGCCAACATCATGGTATTTTAGCAAGATAATTTGCATATTAAAGGCTAAAGATACTTGATTTTGATCATGTGATATGAAAGCAAGCACACCCTCTATTTACTTGTCCTGTGTTTTTCCATTGCACACAGAACACACGAGGGTCACTCTCCATCCCCACCTGTTGTGGTGCTTAGTTCCCAAACCCCCCCTCCTCTTGTGATCACTGCTGAGTGCCATGCACAGAAGAGACATGTGGTATTTCTTGCCCATGTGGCTTGGGACAGCTACACAGAAAATATCATGAAAGCAAGCCTTACAAAGTTGGAGCCTGAAAAAAAGGGCATTCCATCTCATTTTCATGACTAAATCATTTTATGATGACAGAATTTGTACCTTCCAAAAATGTATTGCTAAGGTTAGTTTATTGCCCAGGAATGAACTTAGAAAATAACAACTCCATAACTCAGGAATGGAAAATCAAATGCTGTAGCTTCTCACTTACATGTGGGAGCTAGGCTATGGATATGCAAAGGCATACGAAGTAATACAACGAACTTTAGAGACTCAGAAGGGGAAGGGTGAAAAGGGGGTGAGGAATAAAAAACTCCATATTGGATACAATGTACACTTCTAAGGTGACACAAGTACACTAAAATCTCAGAATTTACCACTATGTATAATTCATCCATGTAAAAAAACCCACTTGTACCCCAAAAGCTATTGAAATTTTAAAAAATTAAAGAAAAGGAATTAAAAACTTCAGTTTATGGTGAAATCGAAAATGGCTGCTAAGTAGCATGAAAGAACATTTCTTCCCCCAAATCACACAATTTAGTTCTTGACTGTAACACTTCATGTGCTTGCTTGGCTGCTAAATATGAATGCAGTGGTTAGTTAATATTTTCCTTCTTAAAAATCACTAAAATCGACCTTTCTTTCAGAAAATAACACGTTAAACAATAAAATTTCAAGGTGCATTTGAACAATTATTTAATAATGAAAGTTTAACCAAGCCTTTATAAAATGTAAGCACAGATGGGATTTTTAAAAACAAAAACTTTGAAGGACAAAGACTTACTGGATAGAATGCTTACAAGCACCAAATAAAAAATACTTAGACACAAAAATACACATAAGGTATATTATTGCAAAAACTAATTTTAAGCATTTAATATGTGCCACGTAGGCTCACACGTCAATGAAGTAAGTAAGTATCTGCACACTCCATGTGAGAGAAGGGTACAGTGGTAACACTGCCAGGATATCCATGGGCAGAGCAAGGGCTCGAACCCTGGCCTGTCAGAGTCAAAAGACTTTATGATGAATCAAGGACTCTCTCTACCTCCAAATAATGAGAAAGAAATGACTAACAGTTGACTTGGAAAAACACAAGCAGTTTCAATAATAAAGAGTAAATTGCAATTAAAAAATACAAGCTGCATTATATAAAATGTATGAATTTGGCTCCAAATTAGAAATATAATGGAAAATAGACATTTTTCTAAATGATTGTATTTTAAAAGTATCAAACAAACACTTTAAAGCCCAGGAGAATTTAAACTATAGATTCCTTTTACATGTGAAATGAAAAAGTGCTCTGATTTCAGGCCAAAGGTAGGACACTGTTCTATTCTAAATAATCATACATATTCTCCACATAGAAAAATGCATACCTCTCAATTTAGTGTGGAGGAAACCCTCCTGGATGGGAGATGGGAGAACTGGCTTTTGGTACCTTCCAAAAATGTAATGCTATAGTGTGGGTTAGTTTATTGCCCAGGAATGAATTTAGTAATGCAGTGGGGTCTCCATTTAGATAGAGCTTATCACTGTGGCACCATAGACTTCTTGTTGGTCAAGGGCTGGTCTGCTGAGCCAACCTCACTGCCCTGGGCTCAGTGACTGGTTAGAAGCTCCTGCAAGTGGGCCCTACGTGGGGATGGGCTTTCCAGATCTACCTTCAGCTCTTTTGTATACCACATTTCATTTTAAGGATAAGCTCTGCTGGTAGATAACAGTTTGGCTATCTTTGGCACTGAGGATTTATAAAGCCCTTTCCTGATGTAACGTAATACAAATTCTACCACTTGTTTTCCCAGTAACATGACTTTCTCAAAGCAAGTTATCTTCTGTAACCAGTGATGCGATGGCAACCACAGCTCTAAGGTATGACCTCTTCCAGGGTCATTTTCTCCTATAAAAAGTAAATCATCCATTCCCTAGGACCAAGTGTTTGTGTGCATATAAATGTGTTTATGATTCACATATGGGTTTCCCTAAAAGTAAGATTTTACAGAGAATTTCTATAATTTTATGGGTGCTGTGAACCTTTTTATGGCTATTTTGCAGAAATGATTAAACAGAATAATTGGGATTTAGGGTACTGTTAGTTAAAAAGCTGTTATGAAAGTAACTTTGTCCCCCCACAAATATATACTTCATTTTTTTAAAGTGTGAAATTTGTTCAACCACAGAAATGCATCAACAATGCAAGGCTTTCACAGAAGATGTTTATGCCCCCTGGGTATGAGTAATGCACAAAACAAAATAATGACAATGATAAAATTTTTAGTAAAACTTATAGAAAAAATATCACTTCCTCAAGGACAAAGATCATGTTTTTCTTTGCTGAAATTCTCACAGCCTTATTTATTGTAAAAGTTCCAAAAGGTATTTGCTGCATTTGTGATTGAATTCTGATAACAGTGGTATACACAGCTAGAAAAGTAAAACTCTTAACAAAACAGAGGCATAATGCACTATTTATATGTAAGAAATGCTTTTGAAAACACTCTCATCTTTTATTTGTAAAAGGATTACATCTCTTTTTATTTTTACTGTAAAGTAAATGATGACTGTATTTATCCTGTAACGGTCCTTTGTGCATACGGAGGTGACCACCACCTGTCCTGGTGTTGAAGGTATTTGAAGAAAAGCTGATGCAGCCTGGTCCACTCCCAGGACCAGCTCAGTGCCCAGTGCCCAGTGACATCACCCCTGCCTCCCATGCGAATAATGGCCAGGCAGACAGCGTCTCTTCCTGATACTGAACACGCCTTCAGCTGTGCACCAGGTGGGCGTGCTCCACTGTGTGATTGTTTGTTGGCAGAAATCGTATGTGGCCCAGAATGAAGACAGGCAACAGGTGGGCCTGGAGGGAGCAGAGCCTGAAAATGTGAAAAATCAGGAAGTGACAATGACCAATATAAAATTCAGCATGTTCATTTTGGAGATAATCTTAAATATTCGAGATGTGGCTAAGCAAGAATCACTGAAATACCAATGTTTCATATACACAGCATATGAAATGCCAACATTTTATATACATCAGATCCCACCAAAAAGTATACACAATGGTCAAATTCATGCAAGAATTGTCTGTGGATTAGCAGAGAATCAAAATGTTAAAAGGCTCTGTTTTCAAAGTAACTTGGTCCCTCCACAAGCATACACTTGATTTTTTGAAGTGTGAAATTTGTTTAACAACCACAGAAATGTATCATCAATATAAGTAGATAATCAAAATAATGGGATTTCACAACAAGTAAATATTAACTAGATTTTTCTAAATGCAAAAAAATAAAAACTACCCTCCACCAGCACCACGGGTATTGCGGGTGGCATTCTGGTGGCCACACTTTCTGCGGTGGGCAGGGTGCAATGTGCTGTTGACAGCCTTTGTGGGGAACTGTTTTGTTCTTCTCTCTAGGAAACATTAGTGTGAAAGTTCAATTACAGTGAAAAACAGCTGACCTTCCTTCTTCCTTCTGTGTCGCCTCCTCTATTCCTTTCTCTGTCTTCCATTTGTTTTCCTTCTTTACTTTTGAACTTTTAAAAATAGAAGTAGGCTTGTAGGATGTAGGTTGTTGAGTGTGGGTAGGCACGTGTCTGCTTTTGAGCACGAGAATACATCACCCTTCTTTACAAAGACTCTGGAGATATTCTTCAAGCCCTATTTTGTCTTACATGAAAATGAACACCTACTACTTCTAAATCTCAAGGAGAAAACAAAGTGCTAAATTGAAAAAGCTGTATAACATCAGCTAAGGGAGGTTTCTTTCATGTGGATTTTGGGAGACATGTGTGAGACAATTGGCCATTTTTTATAAGCAGGGATGATGCTGTTGATTTCATAATAATTTATCATCTCCAATCTCCCTACTGTCTGCTTGGAAATGTGTTACAGCTATCTGTTACTGAATTTGAGTGATTTGGCAACAATAGTCTATATAAATGCTATTTTCAAGATTTCCTTCGCAATTCAGGCATTATTTCCCATATATTCCCACATATTCATATATATATATATTCATAAATTTGCCAATTTCCACAATTTCTCAGGTATACACAAACATAGTACACCCTCTTGGTAATCAGCTCATTTAAAATATGAGAGTGAAAAACTGCATAACTGTGTGAAATGACAAACATGTTAGTTGACCTCACTATAGCAACCTGATTCTATACCTCAAATATACACAGTAAAAGTTACTAAAAATAAAATACAAAAATGAAAATGTTGTATAATATTTCCTAAGGGATATTTTCCACAAAATTTTCTGGTTTATTTTGCCAACTGATGAATCCGTGCATACATGTCAGGTGTAATGATCTCCCAAACAGAGGGTAAAACATATCTAATCCTTCTCTCCCCACCAACCATAAGACAACAAAGAAAATAACTCACACTTCATGGTATACGCAACGAACTAACCAAAGGACCTGGCAGCTTCGACATAGTGCTTAGAAAGCACACCTCAATTGTGGTTTTCCTTGTGTAAATATCAATCTGATCAGAATATAGTATATTATTGGATTTCTAATTTTCTGTGAAAAGACCAGGCTATGTTAAGCAGCCTTTAGCAAGCTGTCACAGATGAGACCAATAAGCACATCCTGCCTTAACACACAGCAAGGGTTGCCAAGGATACGATGTCGAGGGACGAGGGTCAGGAGTCAAACTGACCAATATTGAGTAAATTGCATTGGTCTGAATGATTCCCCCTGAGCTAGTAATGATATAGCAAGCACATAGTTTGGTCTGCAGACAGATAAATACTACATTTGAAGATCAACAGAGAGCTGCATTTGGCAATTGTTATATATGCATGAATTTGGTTTGTGTGTGTGTAAAATATATAAAAATATGCATGCCGAGGCTAACATGACAATGAGTTGGATATACATTAACTATATATAACTACAAGGGTACATATATATCTACTTACTCATGTTCTTAGTTTGAAGTAAATCAGGGCTATGCACCAGTCTATACAAAAACATTATAATAAAAATATATACAATATTTTTTATTTTGATATTTATAACCATGAGTTTTGACCTCAAAGCATATGGTGATTTTTCAGGATACAACAAAACTAGAGAAATATGATCTAAAGAGTTTTTTTTTTATATAAGAGTCTCCACAAACTGTTTCAAACACATGACATGAAAATTTATTATCAGATTTCATAAACAACCTAAAACTTTACAAAGCAAACATGAAAGAGTTCAGAGGTAGTCTTCTTAATAAGCATTCTTCTAAACACTAAAATTCATACTTTTTCCCTATGTAATCAATGTTTTAATCCATATTGCAGCCTTCCCCTTAATAAGCTGGCTGAGTAAGAAGTCGACGCATTTTTAAGCCTTTCTCTGCCTTCTCCTCTTTGCCTCTGTTCACCATTTGGTCTTTCCTCATAGTTTGCCATGGCTCAAGGATTAAACAGTATGCATTAGTGCAGTTGCCTTAAGAAAAGGCTGGGATGGCAAGAGACTCACGGCATGCCAGGCTGGATCCATAACTCAGAGGAATACAAACATAAACAGAAGACCCAACATTTTGAAGACTGGCCTAGGTTGACCTAGCTCTTGCTGGCAGCTCTTTAGAACTGTCCTCCTCTCCAGAATTGTCCCTCTCTCCAGAACTGTTCCTCTCTCCAGAACTGTCGTCTTCTCCAGAACTGCCCCCCTTTCCAGAACTCTTTCTTTCTCCAGAACTGTTCCCCTCTACAGAACTACCCCTAGCTCCAGAACTGTTCCCCTTTCCAGAACTGTCCTTCTCTCCCCAACTATCCTCCTCTCCAAGATTGTCCCCCTCTCCAGAACTGTTCCTCTGTTCAGAACTGTCCCCTCTCCAGAACTACTTCTCTCTGCAGAACTGTCCTCGTCTCCAGAACTGTCCTTGTCTCCCAAACTGTTCCCCTCTCCAGAACTGTCCCCATCTCCAGAACTGTTCCCCTCTCCAAAACGGTTCCCCTCTCCAGAAATGTTCTGCTTTCCAGAACTGTTTCAGAACTGTTCCTCTCACCAGAATGGAGCAGTCGCAAGTAACACAGTTAACATTATCTAAGATTCTATCATCTTTAATTTAAAGTTTTATAAACAAGTCAGAGAGAAAAGACTGAAGAGGATATATGAAAGGTAATTTCTGTAGGGTGTCTTCCCATGTAAGATAGGTTTCAAACATTTTGAAAATATTATAACCTTGCAAATGTATAACCTCAATGAAAATAGACTTTTTTCTTTATCATCCTTATTTACTAACGTATCTTTTCCAGAAATGACTTAATCACATTTTCTGTACTATAATGAGATTTATACCCTTGGCTTGAAGGATGTTCTTTCATGCCTATAGTATGGCACACACACGTTGATGTGTGCTTGTGTATAAAACAACATCACAGAATGTTCTGAAAGTATTTGGATAAGTATGTTAGTTGCTTATACTATATAATTTACGTCTTTAAAAATATCCTTGTTCCCATTTTCTAAGTTGAAAAACAAAAGTCAAAACTGGTTTCCTAAAAAACAAAGCGGCATGTGTTTTTATGATTTAATGGATGTCATTTGATATTTACTGTTTCTAAATCTATAGATAAAGGACAGAAAAAAAAATGGCCAGTGCAGTTCTAGATGAATGGTTAAGAAAGGAATTATTCTAAGTCTGAAGTAGTGCATTTATAAAAATGTTGAGTTTTGTCTGTGTTCAATTGGGATACTGACCAGAGGGAGGCTGCAGGCAAGATAATTAAGTTTCCTTTACTAATTTAGTTCTTTGTAGCATTTGCAGCTATCTTTTCTAAGTGCCTACTGCCCAGTCCTGTCACCTTTGATGCTGGATTGGCTGCCAAGGTGAAAGATGCTACCCTGAAAATCCTCCTTGAAGGGTCCCTTACATTACTGCCTGAAAGGGGGCTGCCCAGATATTTTAAATTTGCTTGTTTTATTTCACACATGTCCTGCAATCTACACTAATTACACTGAGGTTTCAGTATTGGTTTCAATAGAGAAGTGATTTGTGGGGAAGATGCTAGGGAAAGTCTATAGCAAATAATAGAAAGGAAAATTAATAAATCACAGCTCTTTTCACATAAAGAAAGAAAATTTTTTGTAAGGTGAACTATTTAAAACACAATTAGCTCATTCATGTCTTGGCAGCAGGAAACACTGTTTTTAGACCTGCAGTGAGCTCGCTCTTCACTTGAGATTTAAACTGACAAGTAAGAAGATGTGTAGTCTTGAACTTGTTCCTCTGCTACCGAGGTCTCGCTCACCTTCTCCTGAAGACGCATCCTCCCATCTGTGTGTTCCCGTATGCAAAGGAGAGGATATTTTCAGGCCATTTCCATGCTCTGCTCCAGACATTATGTATTGAAAATACCAATACATGGGAGAAAGGGAGACCAGTGACTGGAATGTGTCTCTGTAGGACCCTCTTAGAAATCAACGCATCCAATATTATTAAAGATACCTTTTGGGGAAAATATTTTGTTGGAAATATCCTAAACTCTGAAAATGCTTCATTAAATGGTCTTTGTGCTGTTTGTGCCCCCAGGTTCTTAGGGGTTGCCGCTCTGTTTTACCCTGGAGTTCCCTTCTCTGGTCACTCTAGACCTCAGCGGAAGGGGCAGGGTCATCCTGGTCTCTGGCTCTGACCAGTACCTATTGCCGAACTGATGCGGTTTGGCTGTGTCTCCACTCAGATCTCATCTTGAATTCCCACGTGTGGTGGGAGGGACCCGGTGGGAGGTGATTGCGTTATGGGGGCGGGTCTTTCCCGTGCTGTTCTCGTGATAGTGAATGGGTCTCACGAGATCTGATGGTTATAAAAACGGGAGTTTCGCTGCATAGGCTCTTTTTGCCTGCCGCCATCCACGTAAGGTATGATTTGCCCCTCCTTGCCTTCTGCCATGATTGTGAGGCCTCCCCAGCCACGTGAAACTGTGAGTACAATTAAGCGTCTTTCTTTTGTAAATTGCCCAGTCTCCGGTAGGTCTTTTATCAGTAGCGTGAAAACGGACTAATACACTAACAAACCATAAACCAGCACTTCCAGCCCAGATCTTCTCCTGAGAAGGATAGGGAACACAAATGGCTCCACACTTTTTGGCGGTGTAGTGACATTCCATTGTCCTGGTGTTTCTTGTCACCCCCAGACATTCGGCAGTCCGTTTCCGAACTCTCCTTCTTTCTTCTCATGTCTGAAAATGAGCGTTCTCTAAGGGTCTACCATTATTCCTCTCTTTACCCCACACTTCATTTTAGATGATCAGCCATTGTCTGGGCTTCTCTGACATCTCCCCAAGGAAAAAAATAGAGACGGCAAGACTAGGTGTATTCACTTGGTATTTTAAGGCATTTGTGATAGTATCAATACATCTCTTCCTGACCCCTATACCGCTCCATCTGGATATTCTTCCAAAAGCTGAAGTTCAACATGTCCAGTAACGAATTCCAATTTATACTAAGCAAAGCATCACACATACGCCACAGTTTACTCTATAGAATAGTTATCATATTTATAATAATGAAAATTATAAATAAAATCTCCAATGACAAAAAAGCTAACTGTATTTTTAAAGCAGATTATAATGCTAGAAACAGGCACACACACACACGCACACACATGTACGAATGATCTAAATTTCTTCAAAGAACAACTTGTACAACGAAGATTTATTTGGCCCTTTCTGGTTGTCAGACATTGTGTTCTGCAGATTCGACACAGGAGAGCATGTCTGCAACTCGCACATAATATTTAGTACTAAATGAATCTACCAAAAATGCTGAAAACCAGTGGCTATCTCTTAGAAACCATGATTATAGTCACTTATGGCCATTTTAAATTTCTTGCTTTCTCTTTGTTATTTACTGCAAATTATTTAAAATGTGTGTTTATTGTATAATCAAAAGTTATTTTAAACAAAAAAAAATAAAAACTCATGGCTCTCTCCCTCACGTGTTCCTAATCCAGCTCCCTTTCCCTCTTTATTGCCGGTTCAGGGCCTAGCAATAAGAATATTGGTGGTTTCTGTCTCCTCTTGCCTCATTGGATCCATTTCCAACTCATCAGTGATTTCTTCCCTCTTTTTCTGAAATGTCCACCTGTTTCCATCATTCGGCAGGCACTTCTCTGGTGTGTTTAGCTGGAGCAAGCTTCCTCTAACCACCTCTATCAAAAGCACACCCAACCTGTCCTCCCATCTACACCTCCACTTTCTCCATCACCATTCCCGTCATCACTCACTTGAACTCCAGGCCCGCTGTGCCTACACCTCCATCCCGAGTCATCACTCCTCAAATGACCCACACATGTGCACTCCTTTCGTTGATTTGTAAGCTCTTAAATCTCGTGGTCCTGTCATCACTTCCTTTCATGCAAGCCTGAACACACATCTAAAATGAATTATCAGGCCAAGCCTGGTGGCTCATGTCTGTAACACCAGCACTTTGGGAGGCCGAGGCGGGCAGATCATTTGAGGTCAGGAGTTCGAGACTAGCCTGACCAACATGGTGAAACTACTAAAAATACAAAAACAAAATTATCTGGGCACGGTGGCGTGCACGTGTAATCCCAGCTACTTGGGAGAATGAGGCAGGAGAATTGCTTGAACCCGGGAGGTGGAGGTTCCAGTGAGCCGAGATCATGCCACTGCACTCCAGCCTGGGCAACAGAGACTCCGTCTCAAAAAAATAAAATAAAATAAAATGAGTTACCTGTAACTCACATCTTCTGTCCCTCATTCAGATTCACTCTCAGCTCTTTCCCCCTCTGCTCTGTGTCCTGAGGGGTTGACACCATGGGCTCCATCCCTGGGATAGCTAGTCATCAGCAGGATTCATCCATGGGACCTGTGAATGAGGAAGGCAAAATTAGGGCCTTTGTTCCTCAACCCTCTCTGTGAGAAGCAAGGCAGCTGGGCCCTTCCCCAGCACACCCCACCCTGGAGGCCCACCCTGTCCACATAGCCTCTCACTGCAGGTCCCAGCGAGGTTTTCCCTTGCTCCAATTCAGTCTCAGGAGAAGAGCCTGCACCCACTCCTAGTAAGTTCTTGTGGTCCCCTGTGACCCGCCCACTCCTATGTGAGCAGCCCCTTACGAAAATCCTCCAATTGTTCTAGTTGAATGTGTCACTCATTTCTGGCAGTTCTAGCATATTCCAGTAGATGGTCTGTTCTGCTGGGTGGAGGAGAGCGGGAGAAGAGATATGGGCACTGGGAAACCCTAGCCCAATTGAGATGGGTAAATTTAGAAGGTGTCATCATCATTTTACTTCAAAGACTCTAGATTTCCAGGGTGTCATATATATCAATATTTAAATATTAAGGCAAGAATTCCAGTCCTGCATGGATCAATAGTAATTATTTTAGAATAGTCGGATACATTGATTTATCCGCATCTCTGACCCCATCCACTAACACGAGTAAGCAGGAGTTGCATGTGTGGTTACATATACGAGGGGCGTGGGGCGTCTTGGCCAGGCGGTGTCCCACGATGGCGCTTGCCGGATAACCTGCACTCAGCCTCTATTCTTGGAGTTAGAGTGTTTGATCTTCACATTGCTACTCACGTCCATGTTGGTAAACACTTAGGAAAAACGGAAGCGTGGCAGTTTTTTTAATTCTATAGAGTTTATACTAAAGGGCATCAAAACCACCCTCTCTTTTACCTTTTACCATGCACAGAATTTATTACCATTTAAAATAATTTTTCAAAAGTCTCATCTAATTCCCGGTGGAACTTCTGGAGGAGAGGTGACTGGGCAGCTGTGTGTGTTGTGCTGGTAGAACTGGGATCGGGTCACCTGACGAAGGAGATGCAATTTACTTAATAAAAGTTGAATCACTGAGCAGTCAATCTTTATTCTGTGCTGATAAAAAATGGTGTCCAGTAAGAAATAAACTCAGACTGGGCAAAGAGAGACGATATTCAGCAGGGTTATTGCAAAGGAGAGAAAGTGACTATGGCCACAGAGGGAGGAGGTCATTGCCACGGGGAGAAGTCTCCACCCGTAAAGTCTGCATGTCTCCCAAGGATTAGGAAAAGGGTTTTTCTTTTCTAAGGAGAAGTGAACAGAGCTAGATAAACTGGGTGTGCAGGTCCGGAAATGCTTTCCCTCGAGGTTGGTCTGTTCTCAGGAGGGACTGGTGACAGGGCTGTCTATGGGGCTCAGACTGTGTGTGGGGACCTGGAGAAGGTGAAAAGCTTGGCCTGTGTTTGACTCACAAGCATGACGTCTGACACATCAGCGGGAACAAGCGATACAGCTAATCATGCATGAGGCACGGAGTTCGAGGGACTCGTCTGGATCTCACCTAAGCCGCATGGGGCGGGCGGCACCTTGTAGTGAGCTGTTTGCAGGAACACCACGGTGAGATTTCTTACCCTTCACCATTTTCCAGGATCACAGGGCTCAGTTGAAGTCCAAGACTGTCAGAGGTGTGGATAAAGTTAAAATATTTAACCTTCTCATGTAAACATAAGGTAAAATTTTATTGTTCTTTTCCCCAAATATGATAGTAGATATTTTCAGAATAGAGAATGTGGAAGCGTAATAAAGTCTTCTTAGCTCAAGATCTCAAAAAAAAAAAGCAGAATATATTCTTAATTCTTTAAAATTGTTTAGGATGTAATTCACTTAGGGAACCAATGTCTTTTGTAGAGCCTGATTAATTTTGAGACATGAGCTTTGGACCCAGACCTGAGCTGGACTCTTGCTTCACTTCACTTCACCGAGCTGCGTGGGCTTGGAGGGATGGTATGTTCTGTAACCTCATCTGCAAAACGGGGACGTAAAAGCAACTGTCTCAGAGTGACCGAAAGACCAAGTGAGCTCATACATGCAAAATGTTGTCACTGTGTCTGCTCCATATTCAGAAATATTTAATAAATGAGGATTATTCTTATTAATAATATTAATATATGAATAAGATAATGTTTCCTTTCACATCTTCATTGCAAAGATAACAGAAACTACAATATTTAAAAACAAAATGCTGGCTGGGTGCGGTGGCTCATGCCTGTAATCCCAGCACTTTGGGAGGCTAAGGTGAGAGGATTGCTTGAGCTCAGGAGTTTGAGACCAGCCTGGGGAACATGGTCGTCTCCACAAAAAGTACAAAAATTAGCTGGGCATGGTGGCACATGCCTGTAGTGTCAGCTACTGGGGAGGCTAAGGCAGGAGGATCAATTGAGTCCAGAAGGTGGAGGTTGCAGTGAACCGAGATCACACCACTGCATACCAGCCTGGGTGACAGAATGAGACCTCATCTCAAAAAAAGAAAAAAATAAGTAAAATAAAACATCATATAATATGATTATCATTAATACAAATTAAGTCATTTGAAGGATATCAACTTTTTATTTCTTTCTAACTTATGGTCATGCTTTAAAATTTAATTACTATAATTGTTAAAATCCGATAAATGCTTCAGGACAGGTATTTTCCTTTTATATGTTCTACCAGGACAGCATTATCAAAAATATATTGAAATTAGTGCAAACCAAAATGAACCACACATAAAAAGCATACAATGTAAGTTTTTTCTTATATTTCACATTTCTAATTGTAGAGAGGAAATACCACATTTAAGTTGAAAATCAATTAATTATAACATTAGAAATGAAATCGTAGAAACATTAGGAAACTCACAACTTGAAAGGCATCTTCTTCATGAAACGTACACTGGCTCTTAAGTACAGTACAGTGCTGAGAATGTCACTGTACTCTTATTACAGGAGGTAATGAGGTCTTACATTGGGGAAAATTGAAAGACTAGAGTATTTTATTGGTATAACTTTCTAAAATGATTACTTAGGAAGCTATTAAATGGATAATTCATCAGAAGAGTAGAATATGGAAGCTGTGGGATTAAAAGTAACCCTTGTCCTTGAACATTATTTCTACCATTTTTACACATTCCAGTACTGGTTCCTGTTTCCCAGCCTCCCCTTCCCTCACTCCCAAAACCTTCCCCCGCCTTCCGCAGACTGTTTCATAGCTTCACATCTTTGTACACGCTGCTCCTCTTAACTAGACGTATGTGCACCTAGCGCACCCTGACGCATCCTTGTTCGCCCCTGGTTCAGCCACCGTCTTCTCTGAGAAGCCCTATGTGGGACTGCAGCTGGATGTCAATGCCATTGACCCCGGGGCCCTGGACCCTCTGTATCCGGCACTCCTACTGCTATATTCCCAGTAACGGGTTGAAATGGACCCACTGTCATGTGCCTCTTATGTTCTGTGCTAGGAGCTCCTTACAGATAGAGGCTTAATCCTAGGATCTTTGTGCCTCGAGGATTTGGCATCATGCTCCGCGTAGAGTAGGGGCTGGATAAATGTCTGTTGTGTTAAGTTTATTTCAACATTTTTATGCCAAATGGCAAAATGTAGACTGTAAGTCAAACATCGAAGCTAGAGGATGCAATATCTTTATGTGAAGGAAAAGCCATCTCTCTTAGAAGTGTCTTCAGAGGAAGCCATTGTAGGCGCAGAGCAAACATTCCTGGGCACCACATGGAACCGAAGGAAACTGAGTTTTGGGAAGTGGAGTTTTTGTAGGCAGGAGCCTTACATAGCACAGGTTGGGGCAGAGGATAGAAATTGTGACTTATTATTGGAATCCATATGCTGTTCCCAAGATGACAGAGGTTCCATTCAGATCTTTTACATATAATTTGGTTGTAATATATTGGTGAGGGTTGGGGGAGGGTTTTTTTTTTTGTATGACGAGGTTAGGGAAAAATTGAAGAGGAAAAATGAAAGGTAGGAAAAGTGTTCTCCATAAGGTAAGAGAGACACGCAGTGAGGAAGAGGGAGGAAGCCGCCTTGAGAGATTGAGAGATACAGACTGGGTGTGTGTGTTGGGGGGTGTCTGTGACATCATAAGTATTAAGTCCTGTATTTGCAAGTAAACTAAGTGTTGGGTGGATGAGCAGAATGAGCACACTCACTCACGGGCACTGTGAGGGCAGCACATGTTTTTGTTTTTGTTTTTTTAATTTTATTTTAAGTTCTGGGATACATGTGCTGAACGTGCAGGTTTGTTACACAGGTATACATGTGCCATGGTGGTTTGCTGCACCCGTCAACCCGTCATCTAGGTTTTAAGCCCTACATGCATGAATGCATTAGGTATTTGTCCTAATGCTCCCCCTTCCCTTGCCTCCCACCCCCCAGCAGGCCCCGGTTTGTGCAACACGTTTTAAAAAATGGTAGGGGTAAACTATCTGAAATACAATGAAAGTGTTTTCACCATGAATTGATGTGAGAGGGGAAAGGTTAGGGCTTCACGATTATTTTTAGAAAATAAGAAAGACTAAAAATGTAAAAACAACGAACCAGGCAATCAAGAGATAGTATCACACAAGATGTTTTCTAATTTTGGGCTCTCGGGGGCTCAGGCCTGTGAGCTCTAAGTTGAAGCCGCAGAATCCCAGGTCATGGAGGAAGGGTTATAAATCCATAGGCTGGGAAATCTGCCCTCCAAGAACACGCCCTCGCTCACTGAGTCTGAGTCATGTAGTACAAAACCTGGCCTTGGATATAAGATTCTCTAATTTACCTGTTCCTCCCCCAGTTAAACGACGCTTAGACGGGGGCGCACGGTGACAGATGCGGCCCCGGCACAGGGGCACTGGCGTTGAGATTCCACATCAGCATCGGTGGGAACCTGGGAGAACTATTGCGCCTTTTGCAGACCCAGCCTGGATTCTATTTTTAGTTTTCTAATCCTGTAATACTCTTTCCTAGGGATCTGCATCCAATATCCTTGAAGTATCAAAATTTGCTTCCTCTGAAATGAATGGATATAAAATATACTGTTAGTATTATAATAACTGAAATCAACAAGTTACAATTCATGACTGTTGCTTCATTTTTTCTAATTTTAGAGGGCTTAATGAATCTGTTCATGTTGTTCCAGTATTCCTTAATGATTTACTTTAAAATGATTTATTTTTAAAGGGTAGAACCTTCTTCAAACAAGGACCACTGAGTATAATTTCCTAAGAGACGATTTGTGAGTTTCCATGCATGAGTCTATGGCTAAGGTTGAAATTTAGAAGTTGGCAGCATCTAACCAAGGAAGTATTGAAAATTACAATAAAATGCCCGAATTGTCTCTTTATGTGGTTATGTAAACTGATGTTAATTTTCGTGAGGGGAAATAGAAGAGGGCTACTACAGCAGAATGGCAGAGAGATGCCTCTGCAGCAACAGAACGAATACTTGCTTTAAAAAAAATGTCAAAATGTGGATGTGCCTCCAATCATTTAAAAAATAGAAGGTGATAAGTTGAAAATGTCAGGTAATTGGCAGACAGATAGAAAGTTAAACTGTGTCCTCAGTGAAGAAAATTAACCAGCAGCTGCCAGCAGGGACCCCAAGGTCATGTGAATGCCAGAATCAAGCAAAGCCCAATCATTCAGAGGGGGTTCTCGGCTGATATTTCCCCTCCCTGGTCATTTTCAGATCTCTTAGGAACTGCCCTGAACTACTGCCAACATGTGTTCATTTCTAAAAATTACATAGATTGTGATTTATTACCCATCACACTACAAAAATCCGCTGCGAATTAAATCAGCCCTTTGTTGAAATTGCTCCCCGGCAATGCACATCATATCATCATAAATGACATTGAAGTTATAGTCTGCAGCCCTCGGCCTCAGCCGCTGATAAGGCCCCACCATGGGACGATCAATACTTACTATTCATTTTTGAAATTATCTCCACATTGATCCCTGAACAAGCGCCAGCAACACAGAGGCACAGTGCCTTTAATACAATAATTATATAAAGGTTTACAGGCTCATCCTCCCAGCCAATAAAAGCTGTCAACTGGCAGGGACAGTTACAATCCTATAATCCATCAAAACGCTGTTCTCTGACCTATGGGCTTCTGGGCTTTCAGGAGACCACGATAAACATGCTCGTGCCGGAGAGGAGAGCCGCACAGACCTGCTAAACAAAGGCTGCAGATGGATGCCACCGATTAACCAAAAATCCTCCAAGTAGCCCAGTGTACTATTTTCTGTTAATGAAGGAAACAATGAAGGATTGTCTATTTGCTAATTGTCATTTACTCAGAAGGAGTGCAGCTAGCCACTTTGCTGTTTTATTTTTTGGTCTTTAATTGATGAGGTTTGACTTTGAACCGGATGATATATGGTAATGAAGTAAGCCCATAGAAATCATGGTGCAGACAGGTATCTTAGGAGAGGAACAAGTGAGTATCTGAGACCAGGGAAGGGAGACGATCAATGGGCAGGGCAAATAGTGTCAGCGCTCACAAACAGGCACACACACATGCGCAATGCACATGTCCCCACACCCAAATATTCATGCACACACACATACACAGGCACTCACAACACACACACAAATGCACCCACAAAAACATACGTACATATATGCACAAGCATATAAACCTGCACATGCAAACACATACGCACATACACATGCAGCGCACACACACATACATGCAATACACATATACATCTACACACGTGCACATGTAAACACACAATACACAAGTACGCACATACACACAGATGTAGACACACGCCTCGCACAAGACACACACAAAAATACATGACACACACATGTTCACATGCAACACATCCATGTGCACACATGCACACAAACACACACATCTCTACACAGAGACACATACACACCCACACACAACTATGCACACAGAAACACATGCACACACAGACACACAGGTACATGCATATACACGCACTCAAACACATCCCCCACAGGCACACACAAACACACCCCTACACACCCATACAGACATATACCGCACAGAATGATAGTAACAAGCCTTCCTGCTCCAGTTTCATTGGATATTGTGCATTCACTAAAGAAGTCTTGCAGCTTGTCCATGCCTGGTGTTTGTATTACCGTTAATATACCACACAGTCATTTACTGAATCCGTTTAATGTGCCCTTGAATTAAATCTTGCTTAGGAAAATATTAATAGGCTGAAAAAAGTTAGCCAAAAATCCTTTGCATTTTCTATTTCATTTTTAACTGTTTTCAATTATGATTAGAAAAACACATTTATTGTAGGAGTATGGCGGGGGTGCTGGAGGGAGAGGCACATTCCATGAGGGTGTAGGGCCCAGATGGCGGACTTCCTCTCCCAGCTGAGCAGTGAGCGGGCAGTCACCCCAAGTGCTCCGGGCGGGGGAGGGATGAGCAGAGGCTGGTGTGGGACGGCCACGGAGCTTCGTGCGCGCACAGATTTAGGGTGCGTAGGTGCTGAAGAAACACAGCTTCGATTTCAATATGGGCTCAGGTCTCAGTGACTTGAACTCTTACCTTAGTCCGAAGCCTGCCTTTCAGGCCTCCACTCGAATTCCTCTGCTGCCTGAGGATTTGGCCAATCTGTTTCAGAGGGGATGTGCATCTCAGTAGTGTCAAACATGACAAGCTACTAACTTTTTAAAGAATTTTGGGAAATTTGTTCATCTTTTAAAATTGTTAATGTCAAAATACTCAGGAGAAATGATCCCTTGGTAGGAAGGGAGCGGGCTCGTGTTATTTTTGTTGGAGTAAATATTTCTACTTTCTGAGTGATTGAATAAGATTTTAGATAAGAAGATTTGAGAAAACTTGGCAGACCAGGTTTATCTACTGTGGGCCAGAACAAGCAAATTGCAGGGCTACACATGGTGGGCAGAAAATGTGAAATCATAGCAATGCGATGAATGCAGAAATTCTTAAAAAATATATGAGATTTGGAGGGTTGCTAAAATTTATGTTAGGCCTTGATATCTTCTGATAGATGAATTTTTAAACTATTGCTTTAAAGTTACGTTGCATGTCAATTACAAGAATGCACTGGAGATAGAAAAATCAGTAAAGCATGAGCCCCACTTTCAAAGCGCCCACAGTTGAGAGGGGACAGCTGAGACATGAGGGGCACCCCAGAAGCATAGTGTACACGTGGCCTCCACAGTGACGAGCAAACCCAGCTCCCAGAGGAAGGGGCACGGGGAGCCTTCTGAGGGAAACCAGGGTCTGGAGGGCACCATCCCAGCATCCCGAGAAGCGGCTGTCCCACAGAGGGTCCTTCCACCCACCCGCCAAGCTTTCCTGGGTCTGTGCACGCTGTCTCTGCCAGAGGACCTCAGTGAGCAACTGAAGACAAGTGGAGAGAATAAAACCTGTGGGAAAATGCAGAGGGAGTCACAGCGGACAGTCCTGCATCCTAACAGAGCATTTGGTGGCACGGACGGTGGCAACTTTGTGTTTCAAACCTAAGTGAATGTCTCAGTGTTGGCTCCTGCAGGCTTCTCTAAGGCATAGCACCAGATGTTGTCTGCAGGGGTTCAAAGTTAGCCCACAGGGAGGTTGCTGATTCTGGCCCACGTCTCACCTGCCCCTGGCTCTTCCAGTGCCAGCTTTGGGCTGCAGACTCAGCACACGCCCATAACCAACTGTCCTGCTTGGACACCACTGCAAGAGGGCGGACTCTCCTCTATGGTGGCAGCACCAGGCAACAGCTGCGGAAAAGTCGCTCTAGGAAGGCATGGGAATGCCAAGAGCTCCTGACCAGGATCCTTCACTGTGACAAAGACCCAGACGTCTATCCTGCCCTTCCTTACAAACGTCTACAAATGATCAAAACACACTTAAAACTCTAAGGGAAAATGTAAAACAAAAGAAGCTTGTTACTTCCCAGAAAAGGAAAGTATGTAATTGAATTGTGAATCGGGAATTTATAATGAAGGCAAAAATCTATTTTAAAATTCTCTCCCGAAAGCCTCTATTTGGAAGTGATCGTGCTCTCTTGAGATGTGCATTTCATATGAGGAATCCCACTAACCAGGACTCTGTCCCCGCTTCTAGAGGAAAGTTTGAAGCTTCTATAAGCATAAAACCTTGAACTGAGTCACTGGGAACCTGTGAGAGGCTTCTGCAGGCACACGGCAGCCTCCACGATGTTCTCTCCTCATTCACGTCTGCCTGCTGCACACCCCAATTCTCACGCACACCGCCGTTCTGGTCTCCTCCCTGCTAACAGGGAATTCCCTGGTAAAAAGGTAAGCCTGTTCACACCTCTGCTTTGCTTAAAAACCTTCAATGGCTTGCCCATTTCTTAAGATAAAGCCCAACATTCTTTTCTCCCCTAGTTATTTAAATTTATTATTTATTCTTAAATTTTATTTCAGTTTCAGAGGTACATGTGCAGGCTTGTGATATAGGTAACTTGTGTGTCACAGTTTGGTGTACAGAATATTTTGTCATCCAGGTAATAAGCCTAGTACCTAATAGATAGTTTGCCACTCCTCTTTCTCTTCCCACCCTCCACCCTCCAGTACCCGTGTCTATGAATAGTCAAAGCTTAGCTCCCATTTGTGAGAATGTACAGTATTTGATTTTCTGTTCCTGGATTAGGTTTCTAAGGATAATGGCCTCTGGTTCCTCCCATGTTACTGAAGAGGACATAATTTTGTTCTTCTTCATGGCTATGTAGTATTCCATGGTGTATATGTACCACATTTTCTGCACCCAATCTTCTGTTGATGGACATTTAGGGTGATTCCATGATTTTGCTATTGTGAAAAGTGCTGTGACAGACATATGCATGCAAGTGTCTTTATGCTGTGATGGACATATGTGTGCATGTGTCTTTATACTGTGATGAACACACATGTGCATGTGTGTTTATGCTCTGACGGACACACACATGCAAGTGTCTTTATGCTGTGATGGACTTATGTGTGCATGAGTCTTTATGCTGCCATGGACACTCATGTGCACGTGTCTTTATACTGCAATGGACACACACATGCCTGTGTCCTTACGCTGTGACGGACACACATGTGCCTGTGTCTTTATGCTGCGGTGGACACACACATGCCTGTGTCTTTATGCTGCGGACACACAGGTGCCTGTGTCTTTATGCTGCGGTGGACATACACATGCCTGTGTCTTTATGCTGTGGAAACACAGGTGCCTGTGTCTTTATGCTCCAACAGACATACACATGCAAGTGTCTTTATGCTGTGATGACCACACACGTGCATGTGTCTTTATGGACCTAGAGCAGGCTCTTCTGAGCTCAGTGATTTCATTTTGTACCACTTTTACCCTTGGCCAGGATACCCCAGCCTTATCTCCGTACTCCACAGCCCTGTGGTCCCCTACTCTGGAACCTTGTGCTACAGATTCCTTCATCTCGAATGCCCTCGACCTCCATTCTTCCCTTTCCCACCTTTACTTTCATCCTAGTAACTCTCCACATCCCAGCTTATAGGATCTGTCTGGTGCCAGCTGCCCTACTGCTCTAGTCCTCTCCTCTGCTAGCACTTGCCCCACGTTTAAGTGAATATGTGGGAGATGGTTATACAAAGTCCCACCCACTTACAGGACTGTAAGTTCTTAAAGACAGAAAAAAGTCCTTTTCATTTGATGATGATATTTCTAGTGCAAAACACAGTGACCTAAAACTGCTGCCACTCTACAAAGATTTGTCAAATGAATAAAAAAGTGATTCCTGGCTGGGCGCAGTGTCTCACACTTGTAATCCCAGCACTTTGGGAGGCAGAGGCGGGTGGATCATGAGGTCAGGAGATGAAGACCACCCTGGCCAACATGGTGAAACCCCATCTCTACTAAAATACAAAAAATTAGCCCAGCATGGTGGCGGGTGCCTGCAGTTCCAGCTACTGGGGAGGCTGAGGCAGGGGAATCGCTAGAGCCTGGGAGGCGGAGCTTGCAGTGAGCCGAGATCACGCCACCGCACTCCAGCCTGGCAACAGAGCGAGACTCCATCTCAAAAACAAAAAAATAAAAAAAAAAGGAACAAAAACAAAGTGATTCCCACCCAGGTCTTTTTGACCACGGGGTTAAAAGCCTCTACCTAAAGTGTTTTAGGTCTCTAATGTTATTTTTCATCTTCATCAAATGAGGAGCGTATTTTTATTATGCTAAAAAATACATAACATAAATCTTAACAGCTGAACCAGTTTTCAGTGCATCTTAGTAGCATGAAGTGTATTCGCAGGGCTGTGAAACAGAGCTCCATGGGATCCTCCCCAGCCACGGCCGCGTCTGACAGCACCCCTGCGGGACACCAGGCCTCCAGTTCTCCACACCTTTGCAACACTTGCTCCTTTCTGTTTTTGTGTTTTTAATAGTTGCCATCCTAATGGGTGTGCCAGTTTACTCAGTGTGGTTTTCCTTCGTGTCTCCGACCTTTACTGATGTTGAGCACCTTTTGGAGCTTTTTGAATTCGAGTTCAGTGAGGGTTTTTGTTGTGATTGTCTCATTCCCGTTGAATTCATGACTCCTGCATCCCCAGGAGCCTCTCACTGAGGTTGGTGTTCACCTAGTGAGCGTGCGTATGTGACATTTGAGAAGTCTATGTAATGCTCAGAGAGTGGAAACTGAGTCCAGTATCTACCATCTTTAGACTACATAATGCCTTTAAGACTTCAAATATCAATCATCAGTCTTTCTATTTGCACCTCTAATTAATCTCACCATTCTGCTTACCCACCTTTCCTGCTTTCCCGGCTGGTTAATTCTCTGTGGCAGGGACCGTCCTGGTCAGGGTGTAGCCATGTCCCTGACCTCCCCATACAAGACAGCAGCATCCCTCTATTCCAGTTGTGGCAACCATTTTTTCAACACCCCCAAATATTGCCTAATGCTCCTTGGTTGGTGTGGGGGTGTTTGAGAGCCCCTGCTGTTGTTTTTTCTCTTGCCAAAATCCTATGTTCACCTTCATAAGCAGCAGGCCCTTTTTGGCAGAGCACCAGCCCACACTGGGGCTGGGATCCTGATCTTTGGTCTGAAACATGCAGCCAGGGCTTACCATCTTTTGGATGTGCAGGCTGCTGGGGGGCCTGATCTTTGCCAGGGAGGTCTCTCACCATTTTGCTCAGTTGATATTTTGTTCTTTCCTTTATTCCTGAGCTGTTCAGCATGAGGCGACTCAGAAGGAGCATGAGCAGAGATGACCCTAATAGGTGGTGCCAACACAGTTTCCCTGAGAAGTTGAAATCGAGGACTGGTGCCCACTGAGGAGGTCTGAGGAGAGGAGGACTCAGAGCAGCCAGGTGAGGATTCAGGAGCGCGACTTTCGAGAACAGAACAGTAAAGTGTGTGCTCAGAGTCCGTGGGGGCAGCATCAGGGCTTCCACTCTTGCATGCCGTGCTACACTGGAGTCCCATTCTACACCACCTGCCCACACACAGCTCTGCTGAGGCACGAGGCCCCGTGGGTGCAGCACCATCTTCTCGAGGGTATCCTTCCTTGCTGCAGCGTCTTATCTGTGTGCAGCTGCAGGTGTTCCTTAGCAGGGTCTCCATATAGATGACTGCGCTTGAAACATTTCAAATCTCCTCCTATTTCAAACTGCTTTATAAATCCTTGTAGGAGTGACCAATGTATATCATATTACCCCACAATACAGAAAGGAATCTTCATCAGTAATTTAAGTTATAGAAAGTTAAGTTGTTGTAAACTAGGAGATCAAGAGGGGGGCGCCTCATCTATGTGAATCCTGTGACCCCCACAAATATTATAGAAGCAATATGAGAGGAAGTTCATGGCGACCCCACGCATATTATAGAAGCAACACAGGAGGAAGTTCATGGTGACCCCACGCGTATTATAGAAGCAATACGGGAGGAAGTTCATGGTAACTCCACGCGTATTATAGAAGCAACACGGGAGGAAGTTCATGGCGACCCCACGCATATTATGGAAGCAACACGGGAGGAAGTTCATGGCGACCCCACGCATATTATGGAAGCAATACGGGAGGAAGTTCATGGCGACCCCACGCTTATTATAGAAGCAACACGGGAGGAAGTTCATGGCGACTCCACGCATATTATAGAAACAACACGGGAGGAAGTTCATGGCGACCCCACGCATATTATGGAAGCAACACGGGAGGAAGTTCATGGCGACCCCACGCATATTATGGAAACAATACGGGAGGAAGTTCATGGCGACCCCACGCATATTATAGAAGCAACACGGGAGGAAGTTCATGGCGACTCCACGCATATTATAGAAACAATACGGGAGGAAGTTCATGGTGACCCCACGCATATAATACAAGTAACACGGGAGGAAGTTCATGGGGACCAGGGGTAAGGTCTTCAGGAAGAAGTGTGACTTGGTAGGTGGTGAAGTGAATGGCATACTTTTCAAAGCTAGAGGCTCAACCAAGAAGAAAAGATAACAGGGTAGAAATGCGTAGGGGTAGGAAAGGGGAGTGACAGGAGTGATGGGAGAAGCCAGTCCAGGAAGAGCCGGGTCTTCAGCTGAACACCAGGTTTTCGCCAGCGTGAGAAGGTGAATAATTTGAGGAAGAGGTTCTGGATGAAGGGAATTTAGCTCATAAAAGCCTGCGAGCTCCAGGGTGCAGGGGGAAGCTGGGTGTGGGGAAGTAGGGAGGGCAGGAATGGAGTCCCCCCTTCTTGGGACACAGACACACAGCCCCTTGGGATGAGCGGCCCGGGCCTGGGTGGTCCCTGGCACCGGCCTCAGATGGGAATGATATGAGAATGTGCGGCCTGTGCTTTAGCCTTGGACGGCTGCTCAACAAACTGCCCCCAGACACGACGTGCCAAAACAGCGATGATGAATAGCTGTCTTCTCGTTCGTTTCTGTGGGTCACAGGTTTGGGATCAGCTGAACCTGTGATTCTGGAGCAGCTCTTTGGGGAAGCTGCTATCAACATGCTGGCCAGACTGCAGCCATCGGAGGCTTAGCCAGGATCTGCTTCGAGGGGGTCACCTGGAGGGCTACTGTTGGATGTCCCATTCCTCACCATCCCTGTGTCTCTCTAGCGGTGCTGGGGTGTCCTCTGGCCTCCCCCGGAGCCAGGAGCTAAGTTAGAGTGAGGCAGAAGCTGGGGTAGCTTCATGGCCCGGTTGCCCTCACTCACTTCGGCAGTCAGCCCTACTCAGTGTGGTAGAGGGTCACAAATATGGATGCCACGGGGTGGGGGGTCCCCTGGAGGCTCACCGTGATAAGGAGGTTTGGGGAGTACGTCTGTGAGTTATTGACAGGGGCAAGGAGGGTGGGCTGCTTTGATCAGAGTATTCGGAGGTCCTGTCCTGGACATGTGTAGCGGGAATGGCTTGTGTGACAGAGACTAGGAGGCGTGGAGCACCCCAATCCTGGAGCCCTGGGGCTGCATCTCCCCAGGGACTGCAGACAGGCACTGCTCCAGATGTCCACGAGCTTAGAGGAGAAGCGGGGTTCCGAGGTCCCTTTGCTCTGCCACCCATGGCATTGTCAGGGCTGGAGGAGAATCGCTGCGACCTGGACCAGGCAGGGCTCCCAGGGCCACCCCTTCTCTCTGGGCCCCGGGGGAGGCCAGTGGTGGAGGAGGGGCATCTTGTCTGGACGCCAACCTACATATGACAGCAGAAACAGACATGAGGATCCTGAGTCCTGGAGGGGCAGGACTGCAGTTTTATGAACGTCGAATGTTTCCGAAATCTCTTCTGGAGAGCGGACGTGACCCCCGCTGGAGAGAGACAGCTGGCATTAGCCGACAGGGATTTGAGGAAAGTTGGATTCAAGGTCATCCAGGGAGGTGATCAATCAATAGAAAGAATCTCTTTCCACTCTCATAGGGTGGGAAGGGGAAGGTGTTAGCAGCGGGAAAAGACAGGGACATCAGAAAAATTCTTGGTTCAACAAAAAGGGATTATTATCCGTAATGGCACTACCATTTTTTCTGAGTTAGGTACTTTTTAAAATGTAACCTTTGAAGTCTACTCCCCAGGTAACTATGTGTGATTCATCAGGGCCTTTCTTCTGAAATAACAATGATTAGAGACACCCCTACCCTATGAACAATCACCGAAAAGGTGGGACTATCCATTATTTTTCTGTTCTGTTTTTTTCAAGGATGGGCTTCCTGAATATTCATTCAATTTATGTGCGGATAGGGTAGCCAAGGAGGAAGCTGAGCAAACTAGAGATGCCACCAATACAGTGGGGTTCATCGGAAGTCTCTTGATGGAAAGTTTCAGACGTGGGGAGTTTGCCCACCAGGCTCCAATGCTGTGATTCTTCCAGGGAATGTCTTCTTCAATAACATCTCACTTCCCCCACGAATCATTTCTGATTCTCAGCATTCCACTAGATAATCGCGTGGGATTGTGCTAAAATGCGGTCACGTAAAGATATATATGAAACCCTCAACATCCTTGAGGTGCCTTGTCTTGTATTTTTATTTAATTGCTTTCGACTTGTAACAATGGGGAAGTACTGAGCTGTGGAGAACAGCACTGGCCGGAACCGCAGACGATGTATCTATTATCTCGCGTGCATGAAGGTCGTCGACCTATGACAGTTGGAGTAGCAGAAACATTAGAAATCATGTGCAATTTAATCTTTACACAAATAAAGGAAAACTATCACAATGCCTGAATAATGAAGACTCCCGGAGAAAAAGAAAGGCCTGTCCCCGAGGATGCTCTTCATTTTCTCTCCTGGACTCAGCGCGGCGTGCACCCGGCGAGATTCACTCCGCGCTGACACACGTATTAATGGTATTCTGGCTGGAAGAGAGTGGATGTTCTCCGGTGATTGCCCGTGCAGCTGTGACTCAGTTCTCCTCTCCCTCACTCATTACTGCCTCGTGTCAACTCCCGGAGACCATTGTTCCCTGAAAAACTGTCATCCAGAGTGAAATTAACTGTTTTCCCTTCTATTTCAACTAAGAATGTTTCATGTCCCTGACTTTTCAGAATACACTGCAGTTTCCTAAATCTTCTAGAAAGTTACAAAGACCAGACACACGGGTTCTAAGCCAACATGAAAAGAAAGTTCAAACACAACTCTGAGAATTATAAATTGGGGGTGTTTGAGGCAGAATTAAAATGTCGAGATGCCCTGGTGTGTGACAACAAGGAATGCTTAATGCATGAGCTGCCTTAGAAGGTTTGAGATGCAGCAGGAGGAAGTGGGGGGTGCACTCAGCCTAGATCATGTTGGAGCATTCCTCTCTGTGCACGGCCCCTGAACCAGGTGTTTGGTGGGCATTCAGGAAAACGCTGCCCCTCCATGGAGCAGGAGCAGGATTCAGCCTTGATCATGTAGGAGAATTCCTTTCCATGCACGGCCCCTGGACCAGGCGCTCGGTGGGCATTCTGGAAAGCGCTGCCCCTCCAGCAGGAGCAGAGTTCGGCCCTGATCATGTAGGAGAATTCCTCTCCATGTGCATCCCCTGGACCAGGCGCTCGGCGGGCATTCTGGAAAGCACTCCCTTCCAGCAGGAGCAGGATTCAGGGAAGACACAGAATCTCTCTGCCTGCATCAGCCTACCCTTTCTATGGGACAGAGACAAAAAGGAGGAACCCCCTCAGGCCACACAGCATTCCAGCCACTACTATAGAAGACTCCACACAACCCTAAAATGGGAATAAAGGGTCACGGTAGAACCCGGTAGGAGAACGGCATGGCAGGAGAAAGAGCAAAGACCAATCAGAGGCAGGTGGTTCCTTTAAAGCCTCACTTTTGTCCTATTTAACTACATCATTAACTGTAAGATAACTTTAGATTTACCAAAATGTTGGAAGAGGACCTGCCTAGCCTCCACCCCACCCTCCTGTTGTCAGCGCCTCTGGTTATGAGGGTGTGTTTGCCACAACTGAGGAAGCGGCACTGGGCCAGTGGTGTCAGCTACGCTCACCTTTATCTGGATTTCATTAGGTTTTCCCTAATGCCTCTTCCTGGTCCGGGATCCCACCAAGGACACCACCTCATTCCTAGTTGTGGTGGCTCCTTCAGCTCTTCTTTGCTGTGAGAGTTTCTCAGACTTACCTTGTTCTTGATGGCCTTGACAGTTTTGAGAGATACCAGTCACGTATTTTGTAGAATGGCCTTTAACTGGAATTGGTCTGATGGTTTTTTCAGGATCTACCCCTCTCCTTCACATTGTGATATGTGCATGTAAGCCTACCTGTGTACATGCCTCAATCTCTAATTATCATCTATCTATCTATCTATCTATCTATCTATCTATCTATCTATCATCTATCTATTGGTCTATCAGTCTATCTCTATCTACCTACCTATCTCTCTGTCTGTCTATATATCATCTATTTCTATCTCTATCTATACATTTACCTCTATTTATCTGTCATCTACCTTTCTCTATTATCTATCTCTATGTATCAACTATCCATATCTATCTGTATTGATTATCTATCATCTATATCTATCTATGTATCTCTTTGTCTGTCTGCCTATATATTATCTATTTCTATCTCTGTCTATACATTTACCTCTATCTGTACATTTGCCTCTGTTTATCTTTCATCTACCTTTCTCTATTATCTAACTCCATGTATCAACCATGCATATCTATTAATTATCTATTCTCTATCTGTCTATCTTCTATCAATCATCTATCTTTTCCTCTAACCACCCCCTCCAACAGTGAGAAACTTGGGTTCCACCATCCACCATCCATTTTTTGGTAATTTGTTTAATCTCTGTATACAAGTGCAGGATTTTCATGAGAAACTACAGTGCCAATAAACACTTTGGGCAGTGGCTCTCGGTGCCTCCTGCCCCCCGCTTGCTCCTGGTACATCCCAGTACAAGATGCTCTGACCCCACAGCCATGCTAGGCTCACAGAAGGTGCCTGGGCCCTTGCTTTTGGCACAGGCCCTGTGCGCCATTTCTGGGAGGAGAGCCATGGCGTGTGCCTCCATCAGGCACGTATATAAAAGGCAGATGGGTCCTGCATCTGCAGCCGCCATCCAGCACCAGCCACCCCACCCCGCACAGCTGTGCCACCCTCCCCAGGCAGCCTCGCCAGGGCCCTGCTGGCCCTGCCCCCCACACCCTGCCCAGTTCAAATTAATCGCATCACACCGTGCTGTCCACACAGCCCTGCCACAAATTGCTTTCAGTCCTTTTTCGTGAATTAGTTATAATGGTCGTGTTTATTTAAATTTCAGCTAACCAGCATCCTAAAACTATTGAAGCTTTATATGTATGTATTTTGCTTTGTTTTCATGCCAGGCTGATTAGAAATTACCTCTTACTGGAAACCGAATGTAAATGGAGGGACTCATTTGCCAAATAGAAAGTGTGTTTTTTTTTAATTTGTTTGTTTTGTTTTCCCTCTTTGAAGTGGACATTTTCCTCATGTGATTAGACAAAAAGAATGAGGCTGTGCTGTGCATTTCTGAGAGAAATATGGAGCAGCTCTGACGGGGGAGGGCTCGGGCTTTGGGTGAAGAATTTAACGATGGTGACTCTCCATGAAGGCGCCAAATCGCTAATAGAAGCAGATACTTTCTTAAGTCTACTTGTCCTTCTCCATCAGTGTTCTGAGACGTGTAATTATTGTATTAAATGTGTATGTTTAGCTACTTCTATCCTAAAATGGCTCTTGAGCATAAAAGAATTGCACTTCAAAAAATGAAAAGCTTTATAGAGCCATTTACTATATCAAGTGTGTTATTCTTTGTTTATTTCCAAATAAACTACCATTCAAGCAATGGCTTTTCAAGATAGCCTATCAGTCCTAGTTTCTTTCTGACTTAAGAATATACATAAAATATATTGCTACAAATTCCAATCAATTTAATCATCATCAAAAGTAATAAGCTTCCACATTTGCAGTATCAAAGGCCATTAATATCAGTTTTGAATATCAGAATTCATTAAGTTCATGTGAATGACCTTTCTCGTGCTAGATGCATCAGGCCCCTCCTGAAGTCTCCGACAGCACGCTGTTCATTTAGTTGTGAATTCTAAGGCAAAGACTATGACTCTGGACCACGCATTCAATTAGGGAGGGGAAAACTACCCTCTACTAGAATATCACTGAAGGAAGAAATAGAAGCTCTGAAATGTCCCTTCTCAATAATGTTGGGAAAGGAAGGTTGGGACATTCATCCCCATGACAACTTTTAGAAAGCATAAGTATCCAATTGCTAACATTGATTGCTTATATTATAGAATTAGTTTAATTTTTTATGGTGTCTAAAATATGGTCAAGTCAGAGCAGTAAGTTCTAATTTTGAGTTCTGCCCTGCTCCGAAGCAGAAGGAGAGTGCATGAGATTATATAAAGACTCAGAGAAGAGATACAGCTCCTCCCGCACCAGAGAAATGCAGCTCCGTGAGCCCCGATGGAGCCAGCATGCTGCTGGGTGCTGAGGAGCAGGCAGAGGCACCCAGGATGGCGGTCCCCAAGGAGAACGGAGGCACAGAACAACGCATGAGGGGCCACATGACTTAGGGCCGGGATCGGTCACTCAGCCAGCAAAAACACTGGAAGAAAACAAAACAACTTCAGACTCTATGCTGCATTTCCGTAATATATCTGCCCAAAGACTGGACAACAAAGGTAAAGGAGGCTGATGAGGAAACGAAAGGATCCGTGGTTCTTGGCTCGCTGGGTGGCTCATCAACAAAGCCCCAGCATCACTCCTGCAGATGCCCTAGCCTGGCCTGGGCTGGGATGGGCAAAATTCACCATGGGACTCTTGTTCAAGAGAGGGAGATCAAAGCCAGAAACACTTACCCAGAATGGCCATGCAGACTAAAATTCCAATTCTAAAAATACTTTTAAAATGTAACGTACAACAAAGGAAAGCTGGAAAAATATTTAAAAAAGGATGAAAGGGCAAGAAAAATTCAACCCACGACCTCAAGGCGATTATAATCTGTGTTCTGCTGCTTCCCAGAGCCGCTTCAGTCTTCAGCTCAGAGTCTACCAGACACTAAAATGCAACTGAACACTCAGTTCATACTTGTTCTTCTAATTAGCTGCCTCTTCCATTTGATTAATATTGCCTCCTAATTTAATTGTAAATTGTATTTCTGGTTTATATTTCGCTTCTCCCTCCTGTTGTACCTGGTGACCATCTTCATTAATCATATTGTAGCTTTTTAATGAATCTCATATGCCAATTTATGGTGAACAAGACTTGATATGAAGGCATCTTCATCAAATCATTCATAATCTTGTAACTATTGGTTTATTTTCTGTAACGACCTATAAATGTACACCAAAAAAATGAAAGATTCCCCCTAAAATGTAATGGGACAGAACTTTGTTTACGTAGATTTCTGAGGATGGGTTGAGACGCCAAATTCCGCTTGTGTTTGGAATTTCTATTTCACTGGGCTTAGTGAGGGTGCCCATGTTTTGCAATCCTGTGCTCTAGAATCTATCATAAACAGATTCTTCTAATTGTTTGACATTAAACTGCAAATTTGTGTTTTTGTGTCTGCTCAAATATAAAATGTCTTTGGGAAAAATACAGAGAATGGTTCGTTAGAGCTGCTTCTACTCTTGTGTCTAAGTCCAAATGGCCAATTGAGGAGGACATCTCTGAATACACACCCCAGGCAGCAGGACCAAATTCAAGATTTCTGATTCTGCTGGCTGGGATGTAACCCAACGTATCAGGCACCAAATGGGCTTGCTTTTGTGTTTTTTCATTTCCATTCCTTGGCAGAATCTCTTTTATCTTTGACTCCCCTCACATTCCAGCCTCTTTGTTTTCATAAGTGGAATGGCATTTGTAGGCTAAGCCAAGGACAAAAAGGGAGGCTGTGTGGGGTCACGTTGCAACATAGTGGCTACCCACAATGTCTTTGGCATCCCAAATAGAAATTTCCAACGGCAAATATCCAGGCATGCTTGAAATCCATAAGCGTGCACTCTGCCTCGTTGCGCTTCCACACGACATTGTTTCTCCTTGACACATCGCAAGCCTCAAATCAATGCTGATAGACACAAGAACCCTCTGGCATCCCCTGTGATCTAGGATTTCCCGCGATGTTACTTGCTGTTCTAATTACTCTTTCTTCATGCAAAATATTATAAGTGGCTTGGTTAAGCGCACCCTAAACTGGCCACGTTGCTGTCCTTATAAAAATAAACAAATGCTCCGTTTTTTACACCTCTAAACATGACTTTTCTTTGGAAATGTAGATCCACAGAGTCTCTGGATAACAATAGATTGAAGGCCACTGTCTTGAGTCAGGATTCTCAAGGAAAAGTGATGCAAACCTCACAGCCAAGATCATGGTGTTTGCACCAGAAAAGGTCTGGGAAGGGACAGATGGGGCAGTCCACAGGCTGGATGAAGCCCCCAGAGCCACTCAGCCATCATCTGGTTTGCAGCCCTCCTAGTCAGCATTTCACCTCCAAGGGTGTGGGGGCCATGTCCACCCGGCCTTTCCCCAGCTTCTTACCTGGATGGGGGAGGTGGGAACCATGCTCCTCACTCTTCTCATGGTGCCACCACGGAGAATTGCTAATAAAAGTAATCAGTAAGCACTTGGGTTACTAAAGAGTAGGGTTATGATGTCAGCATAAATAATGAGATACTGAGATCACTGGCACCGGGGCAGACATGTTCAAAAGCTGTCCCTGAGCCATGCCACTGTACTCAGGGAAATCAGAGCCCTGCTCCACATGGAAGGAAAACAAGATATCCTAAACAGCCCTGTTTCCCTATGCCAGTCACAGACAGCCTGAAATAGAATAAAAAGGAAGAACCAGGCTTCCAGTTTGTTTCCATCAGGATTTGTCATTGCAAACCTCAGAAATCAACTCAAGCTAATTTAAATAGAAGATAACTTCCCAGAAGACAGTGGGTTACAGAATCATGGGGGTAATCAAGACTAGAGGTGGCGGAGCAGGCAGACAGACAAGGACCTGCTCCTGGGAGGGAAGACAGCCACCAGCATCTGCATCTGCCCCTGGGAGGGAAGACAGCCTCCAGCATCTGCATCTGCCCCTGGGAGGGAAGACAGCCTCCAGGAACTGTTCCTGGGAGAGAAGACATCCACCAGCACCTGCCCCTGGGAGGGAAGACAGCCACCAGCATCTGCCCCTGGGAGGGAAGACAGCCACCAGCACCTGCCCCTGGGAGGGAAGACAGCCTCCAGCACCTGCCCCTGGGAAGAAAGCCAGCCACCAGCATCTGCATCTGCCCCTGGGAGGGAAGACAGCCTCCAGGAACTGTTCCTGGGAGAGAAGACATCCACCAGCACCTGCCCCTGGGAGGGAAGACAGCCACCAGCATCTGCCTCTGGGAGGGAAGACAGCCACCAGCATCTGCCCCTGGGAGGGAAGACAGCCTCCAGGAGCTGCTCCTGGGAGGGAAGACAGCCACCAGCATCTGCCCCTGGGAGGGAAGATATCCACCAGGACCTGCTCCTGGGAGGGAAGACAGCCTCCAGCATCTGCCCCTGGGAGGGAAGATATCCACCAGGACCTGCTCCTGGGAGGGAAGACAGCCTCCAGCATCTGCCCTTGGGAGGGAAGATATCCACCAGGACCTGCTCCTGGGAGGGAAGACAGCCTCCAGCATCTGCCCCTGGGAGGGAAGATATCCACCAGGACCTGCTCCTGGGAGGGAAGACAGCCTCCAGCATCTGCCCCTGGGAGGGAAGACAGCCACCAGCATCTGCCTCTGGGAGGGAAGACATCCACCAAGACCTGCTCCTGGGAGGGAAGACAGCCTCCAGCATCTGCCCCTGGGAGGGAACACAGTCATCGACATCTGCCCCTCCCAGAAGCTGCTCCTGGGAGGGAAGACACAGTTGTCAGCACAGCTGGGCAAAGACGCTGTGCCTCTCATCGGGCACTGCCAGCCGAGAGCTGGACCCTCCCAGGCTGTGGTGGCGAGCACTTTGGCCAGCTCAGAGCCAAAGGTGGGCTGTGTTCTTCTGATGCAGAGGCCAAGTCGCATGACTGCACTGAGCTGTGAGCATGACTTGAGAGGGGAGCCGGCTTGTCTGACAGAAAGGAGGTCAGGTCGCACTGGGAAGGTTGAAGGGGGCTGGGGCTCAAGGAATGAGGACTATGAGGGACCACTCAGGTCACTTCCCTCGGGCACACAGGTGTCACTTATCAATGCACACAAGGAGTGTGTCTGTGGGAGCCGTGTCCCCTATATCCAAACCACCTGATGAAACAAGCTCACGGGCAGGGTTGTGTGGGCGTGATGAGGCCACCAAGCCATCGGGCTGCAGCTCTACCTGGAGCTTGGCATCGGGCACTGTGAGGCCGAATTCTGATTATTTGTGAATTTCCCAGGTATCCTGGCTTCCTAAGGCTGTCATAACAAGGTGCCACAATCTGGGAGCCGTAAAACAACAGGAATGTATCCTCTCCTTGTTCTGCAGGCCAGAAGTCTGACTTCCCCATGTCAGTAGTGCTGTGGTCCCTCCAGAGGCTTTGGGGTTGACCCTTCCTCATTTCCTCCACTGTCCAGGACCCCCAGTGGTCTGATCCCTGGCATTCCTTGGCTCCTGGCTGCATCCCTGCCATCTCTGCCTCTATAATCCCATGTCCTCATCCTTCACTCTGCACCTCTTTTTGGAAGACATCCCCATGATTGGATTTAGGGCCAGCCTCATCCAGCATGACCTCCTCTTAACCCAACTGCATGTGTGCAGACCTTGTTTCTAATTAGGTTACATGCACAGCTTCTGGGTGTGCGTGTTTCTGGGGACCCTATTCAGCCCAGTGCACCTCGTTATGAAGAGCACCCTGGGGAGGGAGTTTGGAGACCTGAGTCGAGGTCCTGGCTTCCACAGGGCTTATACCTTCAGGCTTCACTGCACCATGTGGGCACTGAGGCAAGTGATACCCCAGGTCCTTAAGCACTGTTGCTCTGTGATTCTGTGGACTCACTGGGCTCAGCTAAGGTCTCTGCCCTCTTCTGTAAGTACTAGCATGCAAACTAGCTGTCTTAGTCTGCTTGCTCTTCCATAATAAAATAGCACAGACTGGGCAGCTTAAACAACAGAAATCTACTTATTTATTCATTTATTTATTCGAGTCAGGGTCTCTTTCTGTCGACCAGTCTGAGTGCAGTGGTGCAACCTCAGCTCACTGTAGCCTTGACCTCCCAGGTTAAGATGATCCTCCCCTCTCAGCCTCCTGAGGAGCTGGGACCACAGATGCACACCACCACACCTGGCCAGTATTTTGCATTTTTTCTAGAGACAGGGTTTCACCATGTTGCCCAGGCTGGTCTGGAACTCCTGGACTCAAACAATCCACCTGCCTCAGCCTCCCAAACAAATTTATTTTCTCAGTTCCGAAGGCTGAAAGTCCAAGCTCGTGGTGCTGTGGGGCTGGTTTCCCTGTAGCCTCTCTCCTTGGCTTGTGGATGGCACCCGCTAGCTGCACCTGCACATAGCCTTTCCTCTGTGTGCCGCCCTTGGTGACTCTGTGTGCCCAGAGTTCCCTTCTCATAAGGACACCAGCCAGACTGGCTATGGGCCCCTACCAACAGCTTCACTTTAACTTACCCACCACTTTAACAGCCCTATCTCCAAATACAGCTGCCTTCTGAGGTACTGGGGGTCAGGCCTTCAACCTGGGAATTCGGGGGACAGAATTCAGCCCATGCCTGAGGCACTCCTGCTTTCCCAATACCCCCTGCTGCTCGCAGCCTTTGGGTGTTGCAACAGCCCAAACACACTTTTTAAAAAATCTAGAAATCCCCCAAGTTGTGTGATCTACGCGTGACATTGTCATGCTCCATGAGAATCATTCCATGCGCAAATAAACACGTGCTGAGCATGCCATCAACAAGCCACGAGTGCAGAGGGCTGGGGTTGTATGACCCACACAAAACAGAGATGGCCTGGCACCATGGCACAGCGTTTCTGGAATCCTGGCAACACTGAGCAAAGGGTTCTGTTTTCAATTTGGTTTTTTTGAACCATATTACTTTTTAAAGTGATGTTGGTATATTATGAAAAGATGAAGCATACTACTTTGAAGAGTTGTTTCTGGAACAAATCCTGATTTACACTTGGCCAAACCCAATTCTCTGACCTGAGTGGGTCAACCCTTGGCTGCAGACCACCAGCAGGAGGAAGAGTGAACAAATGGAATGCAGACACTGGATGGGCATGGCCCTGGCCCTGGTCTCTTATTCCAGCCTCGAACCTCTCTCTTCTCCTCCACTGGAGAGGGTCGAGGGAATCCCCTAGCCTCTGAGAGTTGACCCCAGACATATGGGAGTTAAGCTGGCCTTGTGCATCATGCTGGGAGGATAAATATCGTGCCAGCCACGCCAGCCTCAGCAGCCCTGGACCAGAGCTCAAGTCCTTTAGGTGATTGCCAGCTCCAGCCCAGGCTCCTGTCCCTCAGAGGAGAGTCAGTTCCTCAACATTTACCCTCTCCTCTCCCTTTCCACCCCACCCCCTCTGCTGTGAGCAGGATTTTAAGTAGAATGGGATTATTTATCTCTTATTTCCTGATTTGTGACTCTCAAAATCCACCATGAGAAGTGTGACACATATTCTTAAGGAGATAATTTTCATGAACCAAATCATCTGGAGTACAGTGTCAGTAATGCTTTTGTTATCTCGTGCCAACCAATAAAATATGCCCATTTCCAACCCCTAACAAAATCTGTAGGTCTTTGTTTTATTAAAAGTTAGGATATTTCAATAACATTTCACAGAAAACTCCCTCAATACACATGCAATATTTTTCCAACCTAATGAAATTAGGTAATCACAAATAGAACTTGAAGAAATTGGCTTTAACTTCCCTATCATCTTTTCTTAATTATTTCATACAGATAAGGAATTATTCTTAAAGGTAAACACTATACATTCTGTCAGCTTTCATACAGTTTCATTTTGAAAAATACCTAACTATGAAATTCAATACTTTGTGGAGCTGATCACCAGTGTTATGGACTCAACTTGTCTCCCCAAAGTTCACATGCTGGAGCCCTAAGCCCTGATGTGAGGGTGTTTGGAGGTGGGGTCTTTGGGAGGGAGGCAGTTCGTGTTAGATGATGTTATGAGGGTGGGCCCCATGTCAATGGGAGTAGTGCCCTTATCAGAAGAGATGCCAGAAGGTGTCAGCTCTCTTCTCTGCCATGTGAGGATGCAGCAAGAAGGTGGCCATCTGCAAGCCAGGAAGAGAGCCCTCACTGGAGGATGCAGCGAGAAGGTGGCCGTCTGCAAGCCAGGAAGAGAGCCCTCACTGGAGGATGCAGCAAGAAGGTGGCCGTCTGCAAGCCAGGAAGAGAGCACTCACTGGAGGATGCAGCGAGAAGGTGGCCGTCTGCAAGCCAGGAAGAGAGCCCTCACTGGAGGATGCAGCGAGAAGGTGGCCGTCTGCAAGCCAGGAAGAGAGCCCTCACTGGAAAGCAACTCTGCCAGACCTTGATCTAGGACATCCAGCCTCCAGAACTGTTGTTAAAGCCACCTAGCATATGGTATTTTGTTACAGTAGCCCCAGCAGATTATGACAACCGGGATTTAATGGCATTCACTAATTCAGTCATTCTCTAATAGACTTATTCATATTTCAGTGTATATATACACACACATTATCCCTGTCCCTCATCTGGGTATAGAAACTAACAATGTGGAAAACAGCTCTGACAGTTCTGGTTGTTTCTTTTCTTTTCTCCTTTTTTTTTTTTTTTGAGACAGAGTCTCACTCACTCTGTTGCCCATGCTGGAGTGCAGTGGCACGATCTCAGCTCACTGCAACCTCTGCCACCTGAGGTCAAGCGATTCTCCTGCCTCAGCCTCCTGAGTAGCTGGGATTATAGGTACCCGCCACCACACCTGGCTAATTTTTGTGTGTGTGTGTGTGTGTGTATTTTTAGTAGAGACGGGGTTTCACCATGTTGGCCAGGCTGGCCTCAAACTCCTGACCTCAAGTGATCTGCCCGCCTCAGCCTCCCAAACTGCTGGGATTATGGGCATGAGCCGCTGTGCCTGAGCTGTTTCTAATTTTATTTAAATCCATTTTCCTTTGAGCCCTGTGTCCAACAGCTGAAATTATAGATTAAGAATCCTGAAACTTTTTAAAGGGACTTTTAGATTGTGAAAGCCACACTTGATAGCCCCAAGACTATACTGGTATCAACAGTTAGTTTTCTTTTTTATATGGCTCAGGAGCCAGGGGAGGGAGAATTATTCAGCCCCTGGGGAAGGCATTGTGTTTCCCTGTCTGGTTTCTTTCACCAATCTTAGGGACATGCTGTGTCACCTCTCACCCATCGTGACAACAATCACATCCACACACTTCCTTCTGACTACTCCCCTCCCTTCAGCTACACTGCCACCTCTTCCAGAACATTCTTCACTAGGCTCTTTGGAATGAGGTCGAACATCACGGTCTGCCCTCTCCTGCTTACCATTCAGACCTTTACAGAACACCCCATGGCCCCAGAGTTATACATTTTAGTATAAACTTCCTTTCACTTCAGCATAAGACACAATCTTCTTTCCACAAAGAGAAAATGAAATTGCTTCTTACTTTTATGTTTTACTTAACAGGATATCACGAATTTAGTCCTCCTTTTCACAAAAATGTGAGTGGCTGTACAATTAATCAACCAGTGAAACTGTATTCATATTCCATTTAGATTGTTTCTTTCTATTCTTTTTTCTAAGACTATAGATGAGCCTGAGATGAAAATCACTGTAGGTAAGTTTTTATAAGTAAAATTGTTGGGATGTTTGCATGTTTTTAAACTTTTGATATCTATTTATTGTCAAATTACCCTCTAAAACCTGTATTGCCTCGTGCAACCATTTCACCAACAGTGAATGTTTCTGCTGACCTTTGACAAGACGATATATTTCCTGTAAAATAACAGGATAGAGATTTAAACCCTTAAAAATCATCCTTTTGGTTAAGTTGTGCTTTATTTTGTTAGAGTAGAGCTTGGATGTGTAACACTTATTCGGCTTCTTCTCCTGTAAATTGTCTGTGTATAGCGTGCACATGCTTTTCAGCTGCGGCGGCATAGTTTGGAGGTGATTGCACGCTCTACTTAAGAGAATAAGTTTTGAATCTAGACTGGCCTGAGTTCGCCAGCCGGGGGCTGTGTTTGACTATGGGGAAGTCACAGGATCTCCCCAAGTTCCATTTTATCCCTAAAGTGGGTGAACCTTGTGATGTGTTATCAGGATTAAATGTGATAATGAAGCGTTTATGACACAACTGGCCACTTGATGTCAATTACTTTATTTGGTGAACATTTATTTAGGTTTTATTTTGCATTGACCACTTTCTTAGGTGCTAGGTGAGCCTGGGTGAGCAGAGGACAGAGCCTGCCCAGGTCCACAGACCTTGCCTCATGAGGGACACTCACTTCTGTCCATTATTTTGCTTCTATTTTTTTTTTCTAACACAGTCTTCATATACTGATCTCTGTTTATTTCTCAGCCTCCTCCATCCCCCATTGACATAGTAAAAGGGTAGTTTACAGGGAAACTGCAGACTTTGGATAACCCAGCCTTGGCTTGTCTCAGTTCGGTCACTCACCAGCTCTGCGAGGTGAAGAAATTACCTCTCTGTAATGTGGCTCTTTGTTCATGCAATGAGAGACTCATGATTCGCTTACCACTCCCTCCTGGTTCTTGGGCTCTTCTCCTGCCCCTAAGCTACTACTCTTCAGCCCCTCTCTGTCTCCTTCAGGAATGTCCACCTGGCTTCTGATCCCGAGCCCTCCTTCTTACCCTTGCTGTAGATCCCGTTCATTCCCATGGCTTCACATTCATATTTTAAGATTCCATCAGGAACCTTTACCTGGGTGTCCAAGAAACACCTGAACTATAGTTTTCTATTTCCCCCTCTTCTCTGGACCCAACTAAATATACCCTCATCTATTATGTTCTTATTCTCAGCAAGGGATCATCTGGTTGCTCCAGCTAGAAAGCCACCTCTGATTTTTCTTTTCCCTGAAGATTGGGCAGACACGTTTACCCCCACCATGTTCAGCATCTGTTACCTCCTCAGTATCCCTGGACTATCAGCAAACCTCAAGATAATTGCTCCAATCTGAGCTTCTCCCCACCACCAGAATTATCTGTCTGTGGCACATTTCAATACAACCATCACATGTTATGCTAAAACAGCTAGGGTGCGTGTCCCAGCATGCTGCTGTGAGTCTCTGAAGACAGAGCCCATATGTGCTTTCCATTCGTAACTGCAAATATTGATAAATAGGATTGTTTCATGTGTTGTGTGCTGCAAAACTTCTCAAACCTCAACATCCAATCAGACATACCGTGTGTAGTGGACACACAACAAATGGTTCTGGAAGCATTGCAGTGCACAAACACCATTGTAAGAGTTGGGTGACACCCTGGAGATGGTTTATTTTGCAGTTCTCATGATGTGCGTCAATGTGACTCGGGGCACTGCAGCACATCTTACACTTTAGAGAAAAGGTAGTGATCTTGACGTCTGTCACACACCATGTAAATCTGACCTCGAGCCAGTTCAGTTTACACACTGGATGGTGTTTCACCATGGTCAGTGGCTTCATATTTTTGGGAAGCTGGATTTGGGTGGTTGTCACATTGGAAGTCATGTACCACATGGAAATCCACGTGACTGACTATGAAGGTAGTGGTGTCTGGTCTGAGGTTTGAGAAGTTGTGCAGTGCATGACACATACAACAAATTCCATTCATCAATATTTGCAGTTAAGAATGGAATCAACCCCGTCTCTACTAAAAATATATATAAAAAAAAAAATTAGCCAGGCGTGGTGGCGGGCGCCTGTAGTCCCAGCTACTCGGGAGGCTGAGGCCGGAGAATGGCGTGAACCCGGGAGGCGGAGCTTGCAGCGAGCGGAGATCGCGCCACTGCACTCCAGCCTGGGCGACAGAGCGAGACTCTGCCTCAAAAAAAAAAAAAAAAAAAAAAAGAATGGAATCAAATTCTTACTTTTTTCTTTCCATGTTTGTTTATTTTTCTTTCAAACAAACAGCCACAGAGTTAGGATATAAATACTAATTAAGTTGTTTGGATCTAAGTATTCAGTATACACAATGGTTACCTGTTTCTTTTGGCCTGTGGGCTCTTTGAGAAAATTGCTGCAACATTAAGGCATCATGAACTGAGAAGTTTAGGAATCTCTTGAAATAGTTTAACTTAGTGGTTCCTAACCAGGGTGACTTTATGCACCCACCCTCCGGCCAAGGGGACTTTTGCAGTTTACTGATGCCAAATATGAATTCTATTATTCATTCAGGCTCTAGTAATCAATGTGCACGCTGTAAGGCCTCCGTTGTTTCGATGCTTATTATTTGTATATGATGTATGGGAGTTCTCTACCAAGAAATAAATGAAGATGTAGGGATGTAACAAACCATGCAATTGCAGGCCATTTGAAAAACAACATTAAGATGAACATCTGTATGGTAATTCGCCTTCAGCTAATGGGAAGGGCATATTTCAAGTGTGTCAAATACTTAGGAAGTCATTTGAAGGACGAATAATAAAAAGCAACCTTCTCGGCTCTGAGGTGGCTTATTTCTGATGAGGGTATAAATAGCAAGTAAAGATTCTCCTTTGGGCTCCACTGAAGTCGAATGTCTGTATGTTGTAACAAAGAATGATTTAACCCAACATGCTTTACGTGATCCTGTTCAGGGCTCTGGGCTGGTAAGAGAAGCATTAATCATAAATATGAGAAACTAATACTTTAAGTCCTTACTTTGAGGATCCTATTAGTCTCCTGTCCCCTGACTAATTACATACAGTCAAGGAGGCTCATTCATGTAAATATGTGTTTTGTCAGTAATGCAAAACCTGATCTCTCTCTTGAAACTTCAGCTCCACTCACACGTGCAAAATTTATGTGGGATCAAGTGAAAACGACCATGCCAAGCATGATTAAAAAGCTGATGGAAATGGGACAGGCATTGCTATTTACTGGGCTTTGCTGAGGTCTTAATTAAAATAGGAAAATTCCCCAGTGCAACATGTTTGCAATATTATAAAGATAATTGTTTCTTACAAATTAGATAAAGTTATTAATGGAAGTAATAAAATAATAATCTTAATATATAATTATAACAATACCCTTAGTCACCTCTAATAGGAAAAATGCTTTAGACCCATAACTTTCCTTTGCACATTTATGGGAAAAAACTATAATTCCTTCTGAGTAAAGTTGAAAACTATCTGTGTGTACTGTGTATAGGGAACTGCGTGCTGGGAAAGAATGGGAGATAGGTGGTCTTCCAAAGTGGTGCTATAATGTGAAAACTTCACGTAGTAACTCCATCAGGAAGGAAGGCTGTGTCTCACAAAACGTTATGAAGATGTATCTGACTTTGAACTCTTGCAGGTGGCAAATAAGTCAGTGAGACATGGGTCCTGACGACGGGAGTGACGTGGCTTCCAGGGCCTTACGGCTCTGTCACAACTTAGTCACTTTTTAAATTGTGATCAAATTTATAGAAAATACAATTTAACAACTTAGCCATTTTAAAATGTTAAATCACTGACATTTAAAACACACATCTAGTTCCGGAACTTTTTCATCACTCCGAAGGAAAGCCTGTTCTCCTTAGCAGACTTGCCTTTGTTGAGTACTTCTTATGGTGAATACAATTTATTTACAAAATGCTCTAATCCATTGAATGGCAAGCTGTGTTATAAGAAGGTTTTACTGTGTTTATTTACTGAAGAATACTAGATTTCAGAGTTGCACAAAGTTAGTTTTAATGTTGTGCTCAGAATAAGGTCACCATCAACACAAATAAGTGATCTTTGGTTTTTGTGGATTTACATGATTGGGATAAGATGATCTATAACTGAAAACAAAGCTTAAATATGTCTGGGAAGAAAACAGCAATATACCAGGCTTAAAATGCAATATTACAGGCTGCTTAGCAGCTAAAGAGGGTTTATGCTGAAGAACGGTGGATGTAATTTCTTTGAAAAAATTATAAGCAAAAGGATTGAATTTAATCTAATATCACCGCTAAAGCTTGCTGCAATCGTATGCAGCATTTGGGAGGTACCTAAGGCCAAGAAGATGATCCTGAATTAGCATAGCATACAAATCAGCTTTTCGATTTTTATCAGATTATCGGCATTACTGGCTAATGCTGATGTATTCAGCTACATGCAATAAGCACTCTCGAGCATCATATTTCTTTGGTGTAAAATATCCTCAAAGCACATTTTAATTGTTTTAACAAGATAAAGAGTGCTATTTTTGCATGAATAATATTATCAGTATTCCATTAAATCTCTTCATTTATTATCACTAATGCTACTTAAAAGAGATGTTAATAGAGTAATTCATTCTCATACCATAACCCTGGTCAGGAGTCCATGATGGTTCATATTCATTATGCTGAGCTAAGAGGGGGCTTCTGTTATAATATCACTTAATTTATATTCTGAAAAAATGCTCTGGGGACAAGTTGCTCTCATGCATTAGAGTTCTATCTAAATCACAATATTTGAAGACAAGTGGGGATGGCAGATAGCTACTAAACGGCTCCTCTGTGGACTCTTGGCCCTTCAAGAGACACCAGTGAAAGCACAATCCCAGTGACCTCATCTAAACATACAATTTACCTGTGCAAATTCAGTTTGCATTTGCATGCTACATGTTAAGATTTACACTAAATTTAAAGTACTGGTTACAGGCCATAGCATTTATCAGCCATCTGACCTTCTTCATAACTAGATGATAAAGATATGGCCAACAACTACCTTTGAAAAGTCTGAGCACCTAGTGCCTTTGGCTGTCTCTATCCTTTATCAGAGCATGAGGATGTGTGTGTGTGTGTGTATGCACACGCATGTGCATTAGCATTAGGAAACGCATATGACAAGCAATGCATGCTAAAATGTAGTTCCCGTTCTTTTACAAAAGGAACTCCAAATACACATATAATTCTGTATATCACAATGTAGGCATATGTATAGCACAATTACTAATTTTGAAATGTCAATATATTTTACATCAACTCATTGGATTGGCCATTGTTTTAGTGCCGTATAATACTTTAGAAGTACTTTTAAAATACTTTAAAAAGTGCCTGGAGACATTTAATGAATAATTTAAATTTATAGTCTTCACAAAGCATAACAATGTTGAGACACATGACAAGCACGAATCTTAGTTTCAGAGCTCAAAGGGCCCAGGTAAGTCTCTTTATTTTGCAGAGATGTAATCCACATCCAACAGATTAAATGACAGCAAAATCACTTACCCAAGAAGTCATGTTAGTGAAAATTGATGATAAATGCAAAATAAATACCTTTTCAACTCAATAGGTTTAGTGCGAGATGTCTAGAAAGGAAGAATGATAATAAGGAGCAAAATTCATAGTGATACAGAATGAAGCCCTGAAGTTAGAGCAAGTCCTTTTTTAAAAACTTACTTAAATAGCTTAGGGGATTGGAGGGAGGTGTTGGTGTTGGTGAAGGTGGTGCTGGTGTTGGCAGTGGTGTTGGAGTTGTTGGGGTGATAGTGTTATTGGGGGTGCTGGTGTTGGCAGTGATGTTGGAGTTGTTGGGGTGATAGTGTTATTGGGGGTGCTGGTGTTGGCGGTGGTGTTGGAGTTGTTGGGGTGATAGTGTTTTTGGGGTGCTGGTGGTGGTGGTGTTGGAGTTGTTGGGGTGATAGTGTTATTGGGGGTGCTGGTGTTGGCAGTGGGGTTGGAGTTGTTGAGGTGATAGTGTTATTGGGGGTGCTCGTGGTGGTGGTGTTGGAGTTGTTGGGGTGATAGTGTTATTGGGGGTGCTGGTGTTGGCAGTGGTGTTGGAGTTGTTGGGGTGATAGTGTTATTGGGGGTGCTGCTGGTGGTGGTGGTGTTGGAGTTGTTGGGGTGATAGTGTTATTGGTGGTGCTGGTGTTGGTGGTGGTGTTGGAGTTGTTGGGGTGATAGTGTTATTGGGGGTGCTGGTGGTGGTGGTGTTGGAGTTGTTGGGGTGATAGTGTTTTTGCGGTGCTGGTGTTGGCAGTGGTGTTGGAGTTGTTGGGGTGATAGTGTTTTTGGGGTGCTGGTGTTGGCAGTGGTGTTGGAGTTGTTGGAGTGATAGTGTAATTGGTGGTGCTGGTGTTGGCGGTGGTGTTGGGGTTGTTGGGGTGATAGTGTTATTGGGGCTGCTGGTGTTGGCGTTGGTGTTGGAGTTGTTGTGGTGATAATGTTGTTGGGGGTGCTAGTGTTGGCGGTGGTATTGGAGTTGTTGGGGTGATATTGTTGTTTGGGGGTGCTCGTGGTGGTGGTGTTGGAGTTGGGGTGATAGTGTTATTGGGGGTGCTGGTGTTGGCAGTGGTATTGGAGTTGTTGGGGTGATAGTGTTTTTGGGGTGCTCGTGGTGGTGGTGTTGGAGTTGTTGGGGTGATAGTGTTATTGGTGGTGCTGGTGTTGATGTTGGTATTGTTGGTGATGGTATTAGCAATGGTGGTATTGGTAATGGTGTTGATGTTGGCAGTGGTGGTGGTAGTATTGGTGATGATGGTATTGGTGGTGGTGGTGCTGATGGTAATGGTGAATGTATTGTTTGTGGTGGTGGGGTTTGTAGTGATGGTGTGGGTGGCAGTGGCAGTGGTGTCTTTGGTGTTGGTGGTGGTGGTATTGGTGGTGGTGATGGTGTTGATGGTAATGATGATGGTATTGGTGGTGGTGGTGGTGGTAGTGATGATGGTGGTGGTAGTATTGGTGATGGTGGTACTGGTGGTGGTGGTGATTCTAAAAGATTGGGAAAGGTGAGAAGAAAAGAGCTTTTCCTACTCTTTAAGAAACAAGGTAGTTGAAGCATTGTGGTTTCTGAATTTCCCTGATGGGCATCCTGCCTGTTTCCAGACTACTCCAAGCTTTTCCTGTGGTGTGGGGACCCTGAAGCAAGGAAGAGGTCATCTCTCACTGTTTTTCTTTTTTCTGCATCACCTGTGAGTGAGAGAAAAGTTAGAACATCCAAATCCTCTAAGTTACTGAATATTCTGATTTTTTTTTAAACTACAAATTTGTAATGGACAACAGTAAGAAAGAGAATATATGTTAAAACATAAAATCAAAGGGTAGATTTTCATTGTATGAATCTAAAATTAGTTGTGATAACTGGTATATCTATAACATTAAAAAGCAGTACTTTAAGGCCAATATCTAATCAAGTCTTTTTGGTTTTTTTAAGGATTTAATATACTATTAAGAGCATGAAACTATTAAGAAATTATAAAACCTTTCATATTAAGAATATGTACTCCTCACATCACCTTTTATTTTTATCTTGGTTGCATTTAAGGGATGAGAAAAGTAATTATTTTACTCTTTCTTGGTATTTGAAACAAAATTCTCTGCATTTGAATACCAACGCTGACACTTACTAAAGGAAGGTGCATATTAGTAACCATTTAGAGTCTCAATATTATTATTATAAAAATTGAGGAAAATGCTGTTTTACTTAAAAAGCCAGTGCAAGAGTTCTTGCTAAATAAAACAGCATGTATCTGAATTGTTTATCACAGTACCTAGGACATAGCATTTGCTCAATGAGTACTAATTCCTGTCCCTTTTCTTCATAACGAATCCAAGGAACAGAAACAGGCAGGTCATTTTCCCATAGTCACATGTGAAAGCAAAATAATCTGAACCTAGAGCCTGAGGTTTCTTTCAGCCTGCCTTGGTTTTGAACATTATTATTTTTGCTTTCATTTAAAATAATATAATGAAAATTTGTCAATTGGTTTTAGAGGCAATCATGTCACAACCAGAAGTACACTTGCTTTGGGGAATAAAATTAATGTAACAGTCACTTGTGTTAATGATTCATTTCATTATTTTAAGTTCTATACATTTACTTTAAATTTATTTCTTTGTGATGTTTCAAGTACATTGAAGCTTTTCTGGTAAAAGAAAAGCCAATACTGACACTAAAATTTGAAAAGAGGCTGGCGATCCTCCTCTTTGGATGTAATAACGTGCAGCAACCCAGTGTCCACCCCGCACTGGGGCTGCAGTACGCACAGACTCCCAGGGTTTGGAATATGCAGCATTCTCCGTCTTCATAAGGATTTGGTGAATTGAATTGAATTCAATTGAACGTAGTTTAGAAGGTATTTTATATATTTTATACTGCAGTAGAAATAATGCTGATCTTCACAGAGACAAGCAAATATTACTGTATTGTTACAGTAAGTCGCATTTGCTACTGACACTATAAAATGGAATGTGGATTGGAAATGCTAGCATTAGCAGAAAATGGTCAAGTCATGACTGTCATCATTTGCCATCAATGGGCATAAATCCATATTTGACCAAATTACAATTGATAAGTATCAGTAACACTAAAGATCGAGCACCATTAGGAGGATCAATTTTGATAATTCAGAAAAAAAAAAGCATATCAAGGTCAAAAACAATAACTGATTTTATTAAGTTAGCAGCAATACACTCTCCAGAGGATCAGTGGTGTCTTGGAAATGTTAACTTCCATTTGTCCTGATCATAAGCTTCATAGATGGTAAGAAACGCACAGTGTGCTTGAGAAGAACAATTGTTTAGAAAAATAGAGAGTGCACTTACGCTTAAAAGGCATTTCATAAGTTTGGTGTTTAGTGTTTTCAGATCTATTAAGTCACCCCTTTGGGGACCATTTGAAGATACATGGAAGGGGCGTATGTGAACCTAATGGTGTGGCAGAGAAAGGAAGAAATTGCTCTTTTGGGGGTGGGGAGGTTGACGAGATATATTAACCCTCTCAAGACCCTGGGGCAAGTTCCATCTCTTGATGCTAAAAAGCTTAGGGCCCCAAACTCTTTGCATATATTCCCCAGTTTGATCAGTGACTCGCTTAAATCCACTGTCTTGAAAACTAGTGCTGTTTTTAGGTCTTCGAGTAAGCACCTTTTTCTGTTTTTCCTAAATAACATATAAATAAATATTTCTCTATCTATTTGTGTCCTGCAGACTTTAAGAACGAATGCTTTTATTTTACCCTGTTCTGTTTTCAATACTGTCATTTTAAATGTTCCATCTTCTAATGATGTGCTAATTTTTAAAAATATTTTTCAATGAAGGTATTACTTAGATCAGATAATTTAACGCTTCTCTGATCTCAAAATTTTAAAATATCTGGACACTATAAGGAGGAAAAGCCATCATGAATATAACACCTAGGAAATATTGCTTAGTACTGCTATCCAGCCAGCACAAAAGGCTGGCCAATAACTGGCTTTCTGACCCATGTATCAGCTTGCTGACCACATGTAGCTTTCCTGACTTGTCTTGGCTGAGTTCTGGCTCTATGGCAGCTTTTTCTAGGCGTGATCTTCCTCCTGTTTTATTCGCACTCCATCCTAGAGTTTTTATTCCAGCATCACCATGACTGGTGAGCAGTCAGTGGTCCATGCCACACAGTCGACTGCAGGCACAGGCAACCCTGGGGAGTCCCTGACACCCACACTTTCTTGCCTGTCATGCAACAGAGTTGTTCATATAATCACTAGATGCTGAGCTCCAGGAAGCCAGAGACTTTCCCTGATTCATTCATTTTTTACATGCTTCATCACCCAGCCATTGAGTGTACCATCTTAACTTCTAGTGGGAGGAATACAGGTCACAAAAATGTAAATAAGCACATTATATTCTATATTAGATGGTGAAATATAGTATAAGAGAAATAAGTCAGGGAAGGTTTCTTATATGACTCTACTTTTTAAGGATCTTTATTTGCTTGCTATCGTAGATCTACTTCCTAGTGATGTAATTTTGACCAATTCCTCTGACAGCTACTTTAACTAAAGTAGCAACACATGACTGTAATTAAATTTTAGGTCAGATGGTCTAAGTGGTACTGAAGCACATCTTACTCTTAAGCAGATTTGTTTACGCTGAATTACCTTGATATAAATTTTGCTTGTCAATATAGTTTCATCATCATCTACTAGTCTGACATCATAAAAGACTGCATAGTGTTCTTTTTATACAGTGCCTACATAATAGTTACATAAAGTAATATGCATTCTTGTCACAGTTTTCCTCACTAGTACTTTGAAAGAGCATGAACACAACTTTCCTAGTTTCCAGGTAGTCTCATTCCCCTATTAATCACCATGTCCCACACCATTCTGCTCACTTAGAATAGAACTCATTCTAGCACCATCATCAGAATTCATGCCACAGGTCACTCTGTTCTTAGGCCAAACCTGCGTTCTCTCTTTATGTCTTTTTTTTTTCTTTTTTTTCGACAGAGTTTCATACTGTCGCCCAGGCTGGAGTGCAGTGGTACAATCTTGGCTCACTGCAACCTCAGCCTCCTGGGTTCACACGATTCTCCTGCCTCAGCCTCCCGAGTAGTTGGGATTATAGGTGCCCGCCACCACGCCAGGCTAATTTTTTGTATTTGTAGTAGAGACGGGATTTCACTATGTTGGCCAGACTGCTCTTGAACTCCTGACCTCATGGTCTGCCCACCTCGGCCTCCCAAAGCGCTGGGATTATAGGCATGATCCACAGTGCCTGGCCTATGTCAATTTTGTAATAAAATAAAACCACCAAAATATCATTGCCTCAGTTATCTCCCCCTTCCATCAATAATAATTAAAAATATTTCTCTAGCATCTCTCCTTCAAGACACCTTGCTATTCTCTGTATTATCAATCCAAAGGTATGAAACTGGCTTTTTGAAACCATCCTATTTTCCCTTAGTATTTACTATAGTTCCACAGTACTTGAACATAAATATATATAATTTAGTTCATTTAATTATGTAAAATTATATTTTCCATAAATTTTCTATAGATTGCATAAATTATATTTAAGGTCACACACCTGGCATCAAGCAGATACCTAAGTTGTTTCTCCATAAATACACCCCCCTCCCTATAGTACATCCTATCACTGAAAGGTATCTGATACTTTTTTTCCGACACATTTATTCAACATTTTCAACATTCACTGAGTGCTGTCCATGTCTCTCATGTACACTGTGGATATAAGATCGAGAGTTTACTCCTAAGGAGTGCACAATGACTAGAAGCAAGAAGCAACTCGGCAATTACTAGACAGGGCAATTAATTAACTCTATGAGAGAGCCATGTAGGAGTATCTAGTGACAGTGGAGGGGTGAAGAGAGGCTCTTCAACTGGACCTAAGATACATGAAGTGTTGGAGCAATTATGAGGAGTACTGGCAGATGATGGGATATGGAGAAAGTAAAGACAGTGCCCAGTGCCCGAGGGTCTGGCTTGCCCAGAGGCATGGCTGGAATGTGTCCTTTTTGAAGGCCCTGCACTATATATTTTATTCATGCTTTTGTACCATTTTCCTTGGAAATCCGCTGTATCAAATTAATAAAGATTTATGTTCCACAAAGCCTGAATCCACCTTGCCCTGGGTAATGACATTCCCAACTGTAGGAATTTAGAGGACATACGGACATGGTGCGTGTGAAGAGAGATTACAGACTTAATCGTGGACAACTGGATTTGAGCTTCCTGAGAGATTTAAAGGCGGTGCTCTCAGTAGAAAAGCCAGATTCTGAGATCCAGCACTCAGAGGAACGGACAGAAGGGACAGAATTGGGTGTGCTCCATATACAGAGGCTGGTGGGAGACCCAGGATGCTCCAGTTCCACTGTGGCTTCTCCCCACAGCTTTAAGCTTCCCAAGAACTTCAAGCAGAGACATGTTGTATAAATATGAATTAATTTGGAAAAGGGAGTTTCTGCTGCTAAAATCTTCTCTACTTCACCTTTCTCATCTCACAGATAAAAAGTGATGCTCCTAAACTGAAATGACTTGCATTTCACCAGAGAAATTCTCAAACCAGAATCCATGCTTCCTGACTCTCATTTTGTGTTTTACAGTCATAAAGTGCTGGTCAGAAGGGCAGAGTATTATTTAAAACTAAAACAAACAAACGAAACAAAAACTATCTGCTCCTTCAGATCATCTAAAAAGCTATTAAGTAACGTTTATTCTAACCAAGATCTCCAGGGATCCACAAAAATCAGTTCCCCAGTCCCTTGATAAATGAATACTTAATAACATTTGGTATAAAACCTTATCAAAGGATTTTTAAAAGTCTAAGTACATTTTGTCTGCAGTTCTCCTTATATACAATAATTTTTACTCACTCAACTAACACTAATGGACTTTTTATTGTGCTGTGTATTGCACGGAAGAGTCACTGTCAGGAGGGAGGAGAGAGGAAACAAAGAGGACAGTAAACATGAGTAAACGTTTGTAGTGAAACTGGGAAAGAAAGCAGAAAATGGACAATGAGGTAAATTAAAATTTGTGCTGCACTAAAAAAAAGCAGAAAGAGTAAAATTTTTGAACATGTAAGTTATTAATAATAAAGGAAGATACAATGTAGCTTAAAATAATCGTTATTATTTATTGATCACCTATCAGTGTCACATGTGAACTAGGCTTTTGTAACATTATCTGCTTTAATCCTCACTGAAACTCCTTCTGCTGGGGTTGTCACAGCTCCGCTGAACAGTTGAGGAGCATGCAGGCCAGATAACCAAGTTCCATCCATAACCCCAGGTCAGCCACTTGGGAAGTGCAGGGCTGAGTTTTCAATTCCCGTCTGTCTAACTCCAAAATCCAAGCACTTAGTCAATATTATACTTCAGGTTACTCCCAAAATTATGTTTACACAACTGGCATCATCACATGATAAAACGTCTCTCTCTCTCCCTCCCACACTCCCTCTCATTTATTTTACATCATTCCCTTCGGGAATAAAAAGGACTAGCAGGGCTGAGCCCTGTCTGTTTGGCCCACTGTGTTCGGAGCTCCTAACCCATGTCTGGCAGACCGCAGGTGCTCAATGCACACGCATGGAGTGAATTCATGTTGGTAGCACCTTCCCTTGGTAGGGCATGGAAACGCTTGCTCACGTACTGTGAAACGGGGCCACACATCTTGTTTCCCCCTTGATAAGAATGCTTTCCCTTGCTGCACCGTCAGCCGTCAGAAGACTTTTTTCTAGCATTGCATGGACTTCCCAACCTCAGTGAGGAGAAAGTGTCAGAGTGGGAGGAGGTAGGCAGCCTCAGAGCCACACAGCCACACCTTCCTGGTGGGTGCCAGTGCCACTCACTTCTCCCACCCTGTGGCATCTGTGCTCATCTCTGCCTTCAGCGTCCACAACATTCCTTCTGTCCACACTTGAGATGTTCCATTTAAACAATACTGGCCCACTTGCCTCCCCCTGTCCCTGGCTCACCTCCTTCCTCTCCTATGGTCTCTGTTTCTCTTGCACCATTCAAGAGATTGCAAGAACTTCCTTGTCCTGCGGGGCAGCTAAACCTGGAAAATAGAGGCAGCTTCTCTCCATCTTCCCCGTCTCCTAGTGTAAGAGAGAGAGTGAACTAAAAGAGAATCCAAGGACACCAGACACATCTGAGAGAGTGACAAAACGATCATTTCTGCCTGGGACCGACTCGCTTTGTGGCTTCACTAAATTTTTCATGAGAAAATCTCAAAGTTGTGTTGAAAAGTGTGAAGTTTTCTAATTTTATCTTGCTATACTGCCTGGTATTTAAGTAATCAGAAGTCGGTAATTTGGGAAAATAGGAAAGTGTGCAAATAATAGTTGAATAGAATAGGGGTTAGTGAGGGTGCTCAGGGGATAACCTGTACCAAAAGAATCAAGATATCAAGTGTAAGCACCAAGGTAATATAAACAACATGCTATAAGCAATGAGACGTAAAGTATAAGGCCACCATGTTCTTATACATATCTATTCTTCTATATTCCATATGACTTTTTTACTCCCAGTTTTACTTTGACCATTTTTATTTTTTAGAATTTAAATTTGCATGAATGCATATGCATATATATACACATATATAATCTATACACATACATACATGTAATTTACATTTCCCCAGAGAGGAAGTCAGTTTACATACATGTAGTTATATATGTTGGTATATATGCATGTGTATGTATATGTATCATAGGTCTGTGTAGATATTGCTATGTGTATATGAAGAGAATCTGCACACGGAAGGAGCTAATGCTTTAGGCAGCCTTGAAGTGCAGGTGTCCAAATGGGCATGACTCTGATGGATACATTGTGATTTATTACAATGCAGCTGATGCTTCAGAAGACGTGATTTAGTAGTCACTGGTTATTTCAATTTACTCTTTTTGCGTTTTTAATTAGTAAATGAATCCCTCATGGTCAAATGATTAATTGCACAATAATTCACTGCAGTGCCTTCCTCGCCTATTTGTTCACAGCACAGTACATAGAGAAAGCGTTGGAATATGGGCTGACATTATAAATTATGGCAGTGCATTCACACCACTCTCGTTCCGAATGTGTCAGCACTTCCATTATAAACTCCCATTTTCAAGGTGCTTAAAACTAAGCTGTGAAAATTCATTTTCAGATGGCAGCTGGTATAGAAGGTGTCCACCAGGGAGCAATGTTTTTAAACCAAATTTCAGAATTTACTTTGCCATTGTTAAAACTACTAAGCAGATAAAGTTAGCAAAGCACCTTTCTCAACTGTTTCCGTGAAATAAAATAAAAATGAAATAAAACTACTTTTCTCACTGGCAGTGGCTCTAACATGAATGCTAAAATTATATGGATTTTAGATGCAGTCAGTTTTTGTTGGTTTGTTTTTAACATGCTTTATTCCTTAGAACAGTTTGAGATTTAAAGAAAAATTCAGGCAATAGTAGAATTTCACATATCCCTACCTATTTTGTTGTTCAAACTGTTGCAGCGTTAGCTGTTTCTATTTTTTTATTTTCACTATATGCAATTATAATGAGAAGTCGCCCTCTCTATTATGGCCTTTGCTTCTCAGAACTCAGTATGTCTCAACAGCCCATGCCTGAGTAAAGCAGTAGCAACAAAGTTAAAGCCTTACTGACCCCATGGCATACCTAAGTAATCTCATGTTTTCCTGGCAGACCCAAACTTCCCTTTTAGCCAGAACTGCAAACCAACAGTCTAACAGACTTTCTCTAGAATTGCCGAGACAAACTACAGAAGCAGCAGCCACTGCCCATTTAACACGGTGATGATCTCATACCAAGATAATGAGACCATCCTGTTTTCAAGCCTGCAGGCTCTGGAGTGCAAGTCAAGGTTTAAAATCTTGTCTCTGCAATTCTTGGGTGACCCTGAGCAAGTAGGTCACAGGTGAATGCCTCCTCATGGGTAAAGGATGGTATTAGCAGGGGCTTGCCCATGGGGCTGTTGTAAGGCCTCAGGGAGATGCCCTTTGGGGCATGAGCCAGCCTCGTGCTTGGGGGATGCTTGCTGCCCTGCTGTGCAGGCAGGTGCCCGCTCGGTCGGGAAGGAAGGACTGTGCAGCAGGAAGAACTGTGCATTGCAATAAGAGACCTGAATCCCCCAGGATAGGTTCCCGGGTCACATCACAGGAAAGAAACATTTCCCCAGAGAGGAAGTCAGTTCACAGTCAGCAGGGCAGGCTGACCCACTGGAACCCAGCCGCGCAGGGAGGAGGTGGCACCTCAGGCCTGTCTCTGAAACTCCCAGTGGACACTCCAGTGCCTCGCAGACACCCCAAATCCCTCAGTAGGTGAAGCCCCTCTAAAGAACCACACTTCAGTTCCATCTTTCCAAACCTCCACTGCCAGGAGAGCCGCCGCAGAACAGAACTCCTGCAGCCCCCAGTGTCCGCTGGTCTGCACAGCCCCACCTGCTTCTGTCTCATGTCCTGTCTGTCTTTCCTCCTCCACCAGGAACTCGCTGGTTCCTCCTCATCCTTCAGGCGGAGCAGTGGGACCCCCTTCAGGATGCATCCCGCCCTCATCCCGGGAGCAACCGCTGTGTCTCACCTGGGCGTCGTTCCCAAAAAGCACTCTGCTTATCTTTTAAAAGAATAATTTAAAATAATAAGTGAAAATAATGTTTTAAATAATTAAAACATATAAAGTATAAAACATTTTAAACACATAAAATCAGAATTCTATTTTTTCTTGAGTCAGTTTTGTTATTGTCCCATTTGTCCTAATATATATATAAAGTTATAGGAAATTGATGATTTATAGATATTGTAGGATGTGTGTATATATGTATATATATAAACATATAAAGTTCTATCTATACTTATAATTCTCTCTATAAAGTTCTCTCTATAAATATGACTACATTATTGGCATGTAGTTATAATACTTCCCACTCTAGTCATCCACCTCCTTTATAATCCAGATGCATATATCTGTTTGGAGGACTTTTCTCACTTTTCTTAAACAAACATGCCATTTCATTGCTTCATCTAAAGAACTAGGTTTAATTAGGTTAGTCTTCCCAATTTTATTTTTGCTCCCTATTGTGTTATTCCTGTTCTTAAGTTAATCATTTTCTTGTAAGGCCAAGGTGGGCGGATAACCTGAGGTCAGGAGTTGGAGACCAGCCTGACCAACATGGAGAAACCCCGTCTCTACTAAAAATACCAAATTAGTCGGGTGTGGTGGCACATGCCTGTAATCCCAGCTACTCAGGAGGCTGAGGCAGGAAAATCGTTTGAACCTGAGAGACAAAGGGTGCCATGAGCTAAGATCACACCACTGCACTCCAGCCTGGGCAACAAGAGTGAGACTCCATCTCAAAAAAAATATTAATCATTTTCTTATTTTAATCTTTTTAGGGTTACTCTTTATCATTTCAACTTCTCGACTCGGACGCTAAACTAATCAATTTTTTTCTGTTATTTTAAAGTTTGCATTTAAATAGTTTTCTTAGAATTATTGTTTACCTGCGTCTTGGAAATTTTGATGTGTAGTGCGATTTTCATCTCTACCGACTTTTCCATGTAATTCTGTCTACTTTTAATGTCTGTGTTTTGAGTGATGTGTGTAGATTGAATAGATCTCACTGGGTCTTTCTAGACTGAAACTTCTTAGCCTTAACAATGCCTTTACTGAAACTCTATCCTATGATATTAACATAGTTACAACAGAATCCTGATACAAATTTTTCTTTCTCATATAATTTTCTGGGTCATTCTGTTTTATTTAGGGCTCTTATAAATGGCATATAGCTGAACTTCTTTAAAAATCCTCTCTGAGAGTCGATCCCTCAATTGGTGGGCTGAGTCCATTTCCATTTGCTGCACTAAGACAGCTGAGCTTCTTTACACTTTCTTATTTGGTGCTTTCTGTTGACCTTTGGGATGCCTTTGCTTTTTTTTTCATTCTTTCCCATTTTCTCTTGGATGATTAAATTGTTCCCATTTTAAAATGTCTACCCTTTTACAACAAATAATCACTTTTGCAATCTTTAGTAATACTATTAACATTGTATCACATATTTATGATTAGAAAAATTTTAAGTTGATTATTGTCCTTACTTTCCTCCAGCAACTATTCTGGTTTAATAAAATTCCTCCCTTAATTATACGCTATTTTTTCTGGTAATTTAATGCTAACTTGTTTGGATACTGATGAATTTAGGAATGCTTTTCTTGTTGTCTCATGCAGGGAACGTTTCCTTGGCTCGATGGACATGGTCTCCATTTTTCTTTACTTACCACTTCTTTGTGAATCCCAGTCATTGCTTTCAGCTTCAGTTTTCTTTCTTCCAAAGTCTCTTAAGTTGTTCTATCATCACAGTCTGTGAGCAACACATTCTCTTAGGTTTTTGCAGACATTATTTTTCTCTCTCACTTATTTTACTGTGTATAACATTATTCCTTGAAAGTTAACTTTCCTCAGAAATTTTGAGATGTTATTCTGTGTTTTGCTCCATTTCCTCTGTGGATGAGTATTTATCTCATTGTTTTTCGTTGCAGGCTATCTTCTCTTTTTGACTACTTTGAGATTTTACATTTGACCTTGGGCCTCTATAGTTTTACCATTATGCGTTTTGCTGTGAATTTCCTGTATATTTCTGTGGACTTCTTATACTTCTTGAACTACAGGTTTATGTCCTGTATGCATCCAGATATTTATTTTCCCTTCTTTCTCTTTTCCTGTTCTAGCCATTGTTGAGCTTTTTCCTTCTTGTATTCACATCTACTAACCTCTTGTAATATTTTCTATCTTTTCATTTCTGTGTCCATGGCAGAATTTCTTAATGCTGTATTTTAAAGTTCTTAATTCTCCTTTGAGCTAGATCTATTTGATATTTAACTTTGGTATTAAATTTTTAATTTAGTTTTAAGTCATTTATTATATATTTCTAAAGTTTTGTTTTCTTTTTTCCCTAAAAACTTATTGTTCTGTTAACTATTAATTTTATGATGTCTTATATCAGAACACATTTATTTTATGTTCTTGAGGTGCAATTCACATTCAGTACACTGCACATATTTAAAGTGTATGACTGGTAGGTTTTGACGTATGTGTATACCTGTGAAAGCATCACTACAATCAAGACAGTGAACATAGTTTTCACCTCTAAGGGTACTCCCTCCCTTCTGCTCCTCCTTGTTTCTCCTCCACCTTTGGACATCACGGATCTGCTTTCTCTCATTATTGGTTCATTTGCATTTTCTAAAATTGCATGCAAATAAAATCAGATAGTATCTTGATAGTTGGAATCATGGCCCCCCAAGATGTCCATGTCCTAATACTCGGAACCTGCAAATACCTGGCCTTACATGGCAAAAGGGAATTTTCAGATGCTATTCAGTGAAGGACCTTGAGAGGAGGAGAGTGTCCTGGATTGTCTGGTGGACCCAGTGTCATCACAGGGTCCTAATGGGGACAGAGTCAAGGAAGGAGGTGTGACAACAGGAGCAGGGCCAAGCACCACAGGTGGCCTCCGGAGGCTGGAAGTCAGAGAAACGGATCCCCTCTGCAGCCCCCTGGAGGAATCAGCCCACAGCACCTTGATTTTAGCCTAAGAGACTCACTTTGGGCTTCTGACCTTCGCGACTGTAGAATAAATTTGTGTGCTTTTTTTAAGTGGCTACATGTGCAGTGATTTGTTATGGAAGGAATAGGAAGTTAACAGAAGTGTGTACTCATTTATGGTTTGGCTTCCGTCACTCAGCATGACTTTTTTGAGATTCGTCCTTGATGTATCAGCAGCTCCCTGGTTTTTATTACTAGGCAGTATTTGGTTGTCTGGATACGCTGCTCCTTAAGGGACAGTGACGTCATTTCCAATTTCTGGATATTACAGGTAAAGCTGCTGTTGCAGGACTTTTTCTTAGTTCAGGTAACGACGAGGTGCTTGTCACAGGGCCACAAAAGATTAGGCTGGCAGACAATCTGAATGGTGAGAATAATGGGATTTACGAGGCAAAAAGGGAAAAAAAGGGGAACAGGGATTCAGCTGAGTGAGCATCCTTTTAGTACATGCTTCCCACCCCACAGATTAAACCCCAGGTACCACCCAGGAAAAGAAGTTCCTCCCAGCTGCAGACGGTGTGAACTTGCGTGCTCCACCCCAGGTGCAGGCTGGTTAGCGTTTCTCTGGGGAACCTCTGGCCCCTGGCTGCCTCACTGCCATGAACATTTTTGCACAGGTATGGGTAGGATATATGCTCCCTTTTCTCTTGGGTAAATACTGATAAGAAGAATATATTGACATTTTTTAAAGGCTACCAAACTGTTTTCCAAAGTGGATGTGCCATTTTGTATTCCTACCATTGGTGTGCACGAGTTCTGATTCCTTCACGTCCTCGTCCAGTCGTGGTACGGTCAACCTTTCCAGTTTCACCATTTCAGTAGGGGCCAATGGGAACTCCGGGTCCTCTTCACTTGCATTTACCCAGTGACTCATTGCACGGAAGAGGCTTTCACACGCTCAAGCTCTCATCTGTACATCTTCCTTGATAAAATGTCTGTTCAAAGCTTTTGCTCATTTTTTAATTGAGTTGTTTGTTTTCATTTTATTGGGCTTTGAGAAATTTTTATATTTCTGGATATACGTCCTTTATTAGATATGTTCTTTGCCAACTATTCTCACAGTCTATATACTTTGAAAATTGTTTTGGCATTGGATTTCAGAGCAGAAGTGTTTAACTTTGAGGAGGTTCAATATTATCATTTTTTTATTTTATGGATCATGCTTTTGTGTAATATTTATAAATTATTTGCCTAACCCAAGATGCAAAGATTTCCTCTTACATTTTCTTCTAGAAGCATTAGCATTTAAGGATTTAAAATTAGGTCATTCATTTAGAGTTAATTTTTCTTGTTTTTTTATGGCTCAACTATTCTGTTTTACAGATCCACTTGTCTATCTTTCAACCAATACCTTGTCATTCTGATTAACGTAGCTTTATAATAAGACTTGAGATCAGCTAATGTTGTGATTTCAGCTTGTTCTTTTTACAAGTTTTTTTGGCTGTTCTGGGTGTCATGCATTTCCACATGAATTTTGCAATCAGCATATCAGTTTCTACAAAAACTCTGATTAGATTTTGATTGGGAATGTGTTGGATCTATAGACCAATTTGCAGAGAATTGACATCTTAAATATATTGACTCTTCTGAAGCATGGACATTGTATAACTCTCCATTTATTTAAATCTTCTCTAATTTCTCCAGGAAACTTTTTCAGTATATAGGCGTTGTGCATCTTTTGTTAAATTTATTCCTAAATATTTCTTAATGTTTGATACAATTGTAAACCACATTTTAAATTTTAATGTTCAATTGTTCATTGATAGTATATGAAAATACAATGGATTTTTGCATTCCAATCTTTTATTCTGCAAACTTGCTAACTAACTTACTTGTCAATTCTTGTTGCTTCTCAGTAGATTCCATCTAACTTTCTCTGTAGATGATCATGTTGCCTTCAAATAAAGTTTGACTTTACAGTTTCTCATATGGATGCTTTTTATTTCTTTTTCTTGCCAGAATCCCCAGTATGGTGTTGAATAGAAGTGATTAAAGTCAAGTCCTCTCTGGACAGGGTCATTTTATATTTTTATTCTGATTGTTACTTTGTTATTTGGAAATCTTATTATGGTGTTTTTAATACCACTGGTTGTATCGGCTGGGATCTTAGTTATGCTTTTGTTATGATTGGGTTTTTCCATTTTGACTGTATTTTCATATTTAAAGAGGCTAGTTTTTTTTTTCTGTGCCAACTACTTGTAGTCTGGGTTGTGCAACTGTACTTTAGAAAGTTATTGTTTTTTCCTCATTTGATCACAGGACATTATTACTGGCCCAGCATCAACTATCATAATATTTTCTTAACCTAGTTAGTAGAATAAATGCAAATACCCAATCCACGAAGCATGCAGAGCTATGGTTCCAAATTCTCAGGAGATACCTTTGCTTCTTTTTCACCCACGGCCTGGGAGGAGCAGGACCTTTCCTTTTGTTTTCTTGGGTAAATTGTCATTTTTTTCTCGTCAACAGTTTTACTAAGTTGTAACCTTGCAAGGGCTCTGGCAAAAGCAATTGCCTCAGGCCCAACACCCAACTGTGCAAGCTGGAGAGCACACCTCTATGTCTTCACCAGCAATAGAGCCTTCGAAACAACCTCGCAGTCCCCACCATCAGATGGTCTCAGCCTCATGCTCACAGCTCCTATTTTCAGATCTTCTAACAAGCAAGCGCCTGGGCTCTCTTTATTTTTGTAAGATCAGCATTGCAACTAAAATAACTTTATTCAGCATTTTACCTAACATTTCTAGGGTTTGTATCAGAAATATATTCATGTAACCTTAGCCCACCAGATTGATGGAAATCTAATGAGGAATTACCATTTGCACGGTGGGAATTTCACCAGCTTGTCCACCCTAGTGCACACTCTGAGGCAGTGTTTCCTCTGTGGCTGGGCACTTGGTAAATGCTGGAGGACAAGAAATTAATTAACTTCACAAATAACATATAAATGACTATTTAATCTCCCCCAATGGCTTCATATTTGTGGTCCTAATAATTTCATGTTATTGCAAAAATTATGTTTCTTTTACTGTGTTTGGTGCTTTATTTTAGAATCTATCACGAATGTGATGAATTCTTCCTTATTTTTCTTTCCTTATTATTTTCCACCATGTAAACTTAGCATTAAGTGTTTTCCATCAAGCTTTTATAAAGATCTAGTGGCTCCTTCATATTTTACCTTTCCTCAGAACAGATGCCAATGTGACATCTGGTATTAGTGAGAATATGCCCAGGAAAGGGACAGCGGAAAGTGTCACCACACACAGGAGGGTGAGGGGTGGGGAGGTGGGTCCAGCCCATTGCAGAGCAAGTTTGGACTGTAAGGCCAATCAATCAGATTGATAAACTCATTTCCTTAAGTAAGTTCTTAGATAAATTGAAAGGGGAAAAAAGATTACATATATAAACGAAAAAAATCAAAGCTAATAAATAAAAACGATAAAGTAAAATAAAGCTAGGCCAAACAGAATGTGAGAGAGACAATGACAGAGAGAGAGAGAGAGAGACAGGCCACCCATTTTTACCATGAGTAGCCACAAACCTTTGGGAACCCAGCATTTAAAGACGTCTCGTGAGGATTATTTTGCAAAACCAAGAACCTTTTTTAAATGGATTCATCAGATGTTAATTTACATATGCATTTAACATTTATATTTTATATTGTATAGTGGATTTCCTTAAATTACAATCACCTCTCTCTTTTTATCTTTGTGCTTTTTCTCTCATTCGCTGATATTAATTTATATATTTGCCAGCATTCGTATAACTGGTTTTTATATTTCACAGCTTAATGTAAAATTGTAAAATATCATGATTATGCTTTCGCTAGACGTTGCAAATGCTGTGTGTGTGTGTGTGTGTGTGTATGTGTGTATGTGTGTAAATCTACAGTTGTTTTTTTCAAGGGTCTATGATTTCTCTTGCTCAATTTACCTGACCATTATCTTAACTTTAAAAAAGAAATTACTATTAATGTTGGCTGGGAGTCAAAAATCAGACCATCTGGTAAGTCAAATTATTAGCCAAGGAACAATAAATTAAAATAAACAGCAGGCGATCATTAAAACATAAAAAAAAAAAATAGAAGGTTTACCAATCAAGCGTCAGTGGTGACTGGAAATCAATCCCATTGATGCTAAGCACGGTCTGTGAGGCAGTGCCCATTCCTGGCCGCATCCTCACAGCCAGGGTGCCCGCGCAGCCTCCCAGCCTGGAGGTGGCCTCGCAAGCTTGACCATGGAGAGAGGGACAGCTCTTTGAAAGCAGGTCTGTCACCACCAACCGGCCCTCGGTGAGCCGGGGGCTGCCTCAAGCTGCACAAAACCACAGCACCTTCTCTCTGCTTGTCAAAGCCACATGATGTCCTTCTGCAATTTACAGTCTAATGAATTAATAAAATTATTATCTAATCTAAAGTATATTTCACTAATTTACACAATAATCAATCCAAACAGGTAAAAATGTGGCATAATCCACTTATCTGAAATAACTAAGTGATAACCCATAACTACCATCCGAAAATATGTATGTGTTAATATGGGTAGATTTAGACAACCAGCTATGTGGGTATGCATTAGTGATGTTGTTACAGCCCCTAAGATTATGGAATTTTTTAAGTTTGTTTCCAGAATGTTTTCAGTGTGAATGTGTGAGATATAAGCAAGAATGAAAAGTTCTGGTTGGTGCTGACATGGCCTGGGTCCCCTGGCACTGACTGGAGGTTTAAGTTCCTCCCCACCATTCTGTACCCCTGCGGCTTCTCTCTGCTTTGCTCCTCTCTATACCTAGGTGTCTGCTGAAGACATGTTACACATCTTCACACTCACGCAGCATTCAGAATAGTTTATATCTGTCTGCTTATCAAAATCCAGGAGCTTAAGAAAAAAACACTCCCCGAAGAATAAAGAAAATGAGTCTTCCACTACATTCAAACTTTGCTACATGTGATCAATAAAAGCCAGACAGAGGCAGCCTGTCTTAATCGCCTCTTTCTGAAGATGTGTATGATGCTTTATGCCAGGTAGCAGCTCCTCCAGGAGCATCCCAGCAAGGAGCACTGGTTTGTGGAAGGTTTGCCTATTACGTCGCCCCCAGCCAGCTGGGGGCTAACCAGACGGATAACTCTGAACCACCACAGCACAGACCCAATGATTTTCACATCAAGCCGCCTGATGTACTGCTCTGCCGTCTACCAATCCCTTTTCAATATCGATCCATTCCTAAATGAGCCTTCCCTGCTTTGTACCATGAGCAATAATTAAAAAAGCAGCACATTGATTTTAACTAATATTATGAAGGATCTGGATGTGCACATGTCTACAAAATAGTGGGCCTTGCCCAGCTTTCATTGTACAACAAAAGATCCTGATTAAAGTCTGGACACAGGGGAAGAGAAATGTGTCTGCAATTGGACGTGTCAAAACTTATACCTGTACTGTTTTATTATAAATCTTGTTTCAATACCAATGGAGACTTTTTTTTCCCTGAGATTTCAGCAAATTAAATAAGAACATGCTTAAGCCCAGAATAGAGCATAAGAAATTGAAAGAAAATGTGTTCTAAAAATGACATTATAATATAATACATGCATCCCTCTTTAAAAAATAAAATTCATTTTCATATTAAATAACTCTTTTAAAAGTAAATTTATTAACAGATGTGCAATATATCAAAATTATTTGGGAAATAAAATACATTCCCAAAAGGGAAAGGTTTTCCAATTGAAAATGGCTTCTAAATGTCCTACAGATAGCCCAGACTAACTTCACACTGAAGTACCTATGAAAACAAAGAATATGATGAAATGTTATGTCATCACCAAACACTGGAAGCCAATCTATTTGCCGGATGTGGGTGGAATTTCCACTAACTGCAAAGGTAAAACAACTGGATTTTTTTTTAATGTGCCACATTGTGCTATGTTGGCAGAAGAATGCAAGTTTGTGTGTCTAAAGGCAATTAGAAGCACTCTTCATTCTCCCACTTTCTATCCCAGTGCAGAGACTCAAGGTTTGCCAAAAGCTGAAATATGAATAGCACACACCTGATCTCTGTAAGCTCTGAGACAGCGGGAAGTGTTGTCTTTCGCTTGGATACTTCCCCTGGTCCCATGAGGATCTCCCTTTCTACGTCTCATCCAAGACTAGCTAAGAACATATTTCAAAATATAAGGGGACATTATATTAGCAGATACTAAAACACCAATAATTTTTAAAGTATACTATTGATTAAAAATGATTGACGGACTATTTAAAAGCCCCAGATCTCTAAGCATACCTTAGTATGGATAAGAATGGAGTACGGCAAACATCCAAGATCGTGCAGAGTCCAGCAGGACACACTTGAAAACTGGCACTTGTCTTTTGACCAGCCACAGGGCTTCAATGATGTGGCTTCCTTCGTTATCTCCTGGCATTTTTGTTTGTTTGCTGTTTGTTTTTAATGGGAGCTGGGTTAAGGGTAGATATTATTAGGAAATAATAAAATTGTGACATTTAGCACTTTCTTAGTTTATACTACATCCAGTTGTACATAGTATAAATTACACTAATCTGTACTTTTATTCCTTTTGCAATAGTACAGACTGAAAATTATTGATTTTTATTGACTTCACAGTAACGGAACCCTGAATTTTCACAATTGGAGTGTTTTCACCCCATTTATTTGGTAGGGCTTTGCCTTATACAAATACACCACACAGTAGAGGAGATATTAGAAAGAAATGTCAGAGAGAGTGAATAGAGATAATTGGGAAGAGGTTACATTACAAAATCTAATGAAGGAAAATTTCTCAGAATTGATAAAATACATAAATCCTGGACTTTACATAGGAAGTACAGCAAGTAAACAAGATTAATTTAAATAAATCCATGCTTGATTTCCACAGTATTAGAGTGACTTTGCTGGAGACTGAGCAGCTTCTCTCAGAGCCCCAGTTCTGGTCTGAAGAACCTCTTCTCCCAGCTGAGGAGTGTGATGCTGGCTCATGCCCAATGGCTGTCACTCTCTCCAGAATTGTTGCTGCTAAATACAGCCATCTCACTGAGATCCTGACCACTTTCTAGGTTTAGCTTATGCCCAGTGTTTTGCTGATGTGGAGCACATAAAGGGTACCTCCTTCAGGACAACTTTGAGGGCCATCTCAACTTTTTGGTCAGCTGAGGACTTCATTATAACTACATCACAGCCCAACACTCTGTCAAATACTGCTCCTCTCCCTCCTCTGACAAGTCCTCCTCTGACAAGTCCTCAGAATGCACCATCATAAACTTCTGGTGCTAATCTCCATGTCAGATCTTCCCACGTAATGGAATCTGACCACAATCATAATGTCATCGAGAACCAATAAAGAATGTTGTTAGAAGAGTTGAAATGGTTATGTGAGGAGATTGGCAGATCCTTTTCTCAATGAAACAACCATTTCACTGGTGAAAATTATAAAACACATACATTTAAAGTTTCTGGGACTTGACTTAAGGACATACCAGCAAATTGAGAAGAACTTATCCTGGAAAACCTGATAAACCTCATTAAGAATGGAGTGAGACTGCCATTGAGCCATAACATGCCCCTTCCACCATCTTCACAAGCTCCCTGTTGTGGGAATTACTCAGGATGGGTGCTTACAATGTAAGGGTTCCCTTTCCCCCAGCTTCTAGATATAAGGCTACAGTTTTGCCCTGGAAGGGAGCCGCCAGCATCTTGCATGTCTTTCAAGCTCTGTTGTAGAAAATCTTCTCTGGGTGGGTATGCACAAGAAAACTGGGACTTGTTTCAGCCACTCAACTCCCACCTGTAGATTATAGGATCTAAGTGCATCAAGCCAAAAATATTTAATTATCAATCGCTCCCTACCACCATTACCAGACTTCCACTCATATGTCATAGGCTCCATGATGGAAGAGGCAAACCAAGAAGGGGCAACCATCCTTCCAACTCTCTGTTGCAAGGTAGGAGTGTTCTCTCCAGTAAGAGCAGGCCACCCTCACCCCACCTCCAGCTCTGGTGCAGTGGCACAGAGGTTCACCCAGCTCTACTGAGGAAGTGGACTTTATAGGAATATGGCATAAATGAATTCAGGCCTTAAGGCTTTATCAAAAATTAATAGAGATATTAGAGGTGAGCAATTAAGAGAAGGCTGATGGTTTATGAAATTAGTAGCAACAAGCAAGTGAACATACCACTCAGAACTTGAACAAAAAGGACCAGGGAAGAAGATAGCTAAAAGGCCCCTGATATGGTTACATCTTTGAGAGTCTGAAATGCTGTGCGTATGCACTAGGTGTGTCCACTCATGAGCAAACAGAGCAGGCATCTGAGAGTGATTCGTTTCTGGCTGAACAAAGGGTCAACTGGAAAGCATTATCCATTCCACACAGATCTATGAGCAAAATTGAAAGGCTTAGGTAAAACTGACCAATCACTGGCTAAACTTTAAGCTATGATGACCCAGGGGAGACTTCTGGGAATCTAAGTTTAAAATTAGACATTTTTTAAAAAGAGATAAAAATGAACAGAAACATTGAAGCTGCACACTTCAGGAAAAACAGACTTTGCTGAATTAGTCCAGCAAAACAACTAAATAAATAACAAGAAACAATTAAGAAACAGCAACACCAACATCTACGTGGGGGAGTAGGAATAATTAAAATCTGGAATTTTCATGATATAATATCTAAAATGTCCACTTTATAACAAAAAAATTATAAGACTTGCAAATAGAATAATCTGATTATTGTATAGGAACAAAAATAAGGCTGTAGAAATTGCCATTAAGAGGACGTGATGTTGGGTTTACCAGAAAGATATTTTAATGCAACTAGTATAAATATACACAAAGAACTACAGGAAATTATTATTAAAAAATTAAGAGACAAATATAATGACAATGATTCATTAAAAGAGCTTATTAGTAAGGAATTAATAAATCTAGAATTTACAAAAGTCACATGATAATTCTGGAGTCAAACAGTAAGTTACAGAAAAATTTACTAAGCTCAACAATACATTTGTGCTTTCAGAAAAAAGAAGTTAGTGAGCTTGAATAAAGATCACTAGAGATTATAAAACCTGAAAAATAGAAAAAGAGATTGAATAAAAATGAAGAGAGCCTCAGAGACTTGTGCGACAACATTAAGCACATCAACATATACATAATTAGTGTAATACACATAATGAGGTGAAGAAAGAAAGGGTTAGGAGAAACATTCACAACTATGATGAAAATGTCCTAAATATGATGAAAAACAAAAATCTACACTTGATGTATAAAAAAGAATCTTAAACTCGAAGTAGAGTAACAACAAGGACTCACATATAGACATATCACAGTCAAAATATTAAAGGACAAAGATAGAGAAAAAATATTTTAAGACAATAAGAGAGAAGAATTCATCACTTAAAATTAAACTTACTAAGATTAACAGTGGACTTGTCACTAGAAATAATGGAGGTCAGAAGGTAGTGGAATGCCATATTTAACATGCTTAAGGAAAACACACACCCACAACAAAACTATCAAATAAAAATTCTATAACCAGGGAAATGAAAAGTTAATATCAATAAAGTTGAAATAATGACATTTTAAAATAAAGAAAACTGACAGGGTTCATTTATCAGTGCACATGCCTTAAAGAAATACTAAAGGAAGTTATTCCAACTGAGAAGTAATACAGGACAGTGATTTCAGTCACATAAATAAACAAAGGACACCAGTAAAAGTAATCTCATAGTAATGACAAAGCACTGTGTAACTGCACATTCCTCTTTCTTCTCTTCATTATTTTTTTAAAAAACAATAGCAGAAGGCAGTGTATTTTGTCCATTCCCACACTGCTAATAAAAACATACCTGAGACTGGGTAATTTATAAAGGAAAGAGGTTCAATTGACTCATAGTTCAGCATGGCTGGGAAGGCCTCAGGAAACTTACAATCGTTGTGGAAGGGGAAGCAAACATGTCCTTCATGTGACAACAGGAAGGAGACATGCTGAGCAAAGTGGGAAAAAGCTCCTTGTAAAACCATCAGATCTTGTGAGAACTCACTATCACGAGAACAACATGGGGATCACCTCTTTCATGATTTATTTACCTCCCACTGGGTCCCTCCCACAACAAATGAGGATGATGGGAACTACAGTTCAAGATGAGATTTGGGTGGGGACACAGCCAAACCATATCAGACAGGATCAATAAAATTGAATTTTTGAAGCTGTAGGAGAGGGAGATTAATTTGACAGTATAATACGTAGAATGCTGAAGGGAAGAAAGACTCAGTGGAGCAAAGAGGTGCCATCAAATAGTAGCACGAGTCTGCAGGAACAAATGAAGGCTACTGGAATGAAAAATAAGAAAATTAATGTAGAATTTTTTATCTTATTTCTTTAATACATGTAAGATGATATGAAACTGTAATTATAAATCTCTAATGGTGGGTTTTGAACACAAATATGTAATAGATATATATATGGCAAAAATAGCACAAATAAAGTAGAGATTGGAGTTAGTGTGGAACAAACTTTCCCTCTTTTACTTATATAATAAAAGGTATTTATATATAAATTTATATATAAATACCTTTTATATATATACACATATAATATATATATACACATATATAATATATATACATATATGTAATATATATACTCATATATAATATATACACATATAATACATATATACACATATATATACAAAAGGAATATATATATATTATATATATTATATATATATATATACACAGAGAGAGAGAGAGAGCAAGAGAGAGAGAGAGAGAGAGAAAGAAAGAGCAGGTATAGAGAGCAGATTTTCGAAGGATTTGAATGTGTGAGATACCTTGACTCCATATATTTGTAATGTCAGTTTTAAGAAAGACGTATACTCCCACTTCTTACACATACTACCACTTCTTACATGGTGACTTGACCACAACTACAGAAAACATTGGCCACTGTAATTAGTGATCTCTCACTCTCTTTTAAAAAATGACTTCCATAGGTTTTTGGGTTTTCCATGGGTGGTATTTGGTGACATGAGTAAGTTCTTTAGTGGTGATTTCTGAAATTTTGGTGCACCCATCACTCGAGTAGTATACACTGAGCCCAGCTTCTAGTCGTTTATCCCTCACCCCCTTCCCAACCTTTCACCCTGAGTCTCCAAAGTCCAATGGATCATTCTTATGCCTTTGCATCCTCATGGCTTAGCTCCCACTTATGAGTGAGACTATAACATACAGGTTTTTTTTTTAATCCACTTGATTGATGGGCATTTGGGCTGGTTCCATATCTTTGCAATTGCAATTTGTGCTGTTATAAACATGCATGTGCAAGTATATTTTTCATATAATGACTTTTTTTCCTATCAAGAACGTACAGGTTTGTTCAGAGCCAACAAAAAGGTGACTTCCAAAACATATCATCTGAAATGAGAAGACCTCTTGATATTACTTTTGTTGGATTAAAAAAAATACAGAAAAAATCCTGAAATATATTCTTAGCAAGCAAGCAATAGACATCACAGTTAAGTTATAAATACAAACTTTATATGCCTCGGTTAGTTTGACATAACTTTAACCCACCATTCAAATCAACTTCCTTAGCCAATGAAATTCTCTTTTCTGATCAATAAGTGGTATTTTCCGTTGTTACATGTCTTTGGGAAAGGTCCTTGATTTCTGAGACCAAAACTTGTAACTGAGCTTTAGATTATAAATGCTCTCAAGAGTGTTCAAGTGAGTAACCCCTTTCTCAATATATGGTGTATAATGCCATGGTTTCCAGACATAATTTCAATATATAATGTATAATGCCATGGTTTCCAAGCATAATTTCTTTTCCTTGTCATATAATTGCTTTCAATGAGCAAATTGTTGTCCAGTAACCTTTATGCACCATCTGTACCACTGACAAAATCTAGTCCTGCTTCACCATGTCAAGTATTTAAAAACAAACATATCTAAAAATTATTAGAAGTACTTTAAAATGCAAACGATTTTTAAATGCACCAACACATATAACAACCACAAACCTGATATCAGTCTTAACCAAAAATGCTATGACATATAGACCAATTGGTTTTGTTTCTTCATTGAAGTTCATGAAAACCAATCAATTAATTCATTGTTCCATAGTTCCAGCTGCCAGATACGGTAAAAATTCAGTGTCATAAATTATAACAACTTATTTACAGAAGCCAATGCCATAATAATCAAGATATGAGCAATGTGAAGCTTAATATATGTGTTTGATTTCTGAATGTCCACCATGCTTGTTAGTGGTCAATTAACAGACTGAGTGGATGGGTATAACTTACTGGTGTATTCACTTGTGATTAGCATGTGCTAAGGCAGTTCTGGGGCACTTTCACATTTTTACTTCTGGTCTAAATATTTGAGAGGAAAGTGGGGAAATTCCTATGCATTTATTCAAAACCAAACATTAATAAAAACAATCCAAAGAGGATAAAAGACGTAATTTAACAGATTACTTATAAAGTCAGTGTGTGAGCATGATGCTTTGTAATGAACAGTGGATTTAGTCAGCATTCTGCAATTGAGTCATCATTTAAAAAGAAACTGGTTAGTGAGAACCTAGGAGCTAAAATTAAGTTGTTTGGGAATTCACTTTTTGATGGTATGGTAAACTGTGCCATTATAATTTCTCAATGGAGTGGGTTATTAGACCCAGTTGTTGGTTCTATGTGGGAGTAATTCCAGCAGTCACAAAGCGTGGTCTGCAATTGGCCCACTTTAAAAAATATAAGATTGCTTCATTTGGTAATGACTTTTAGAAGTTCCAGATGTAGTTTCAGAATCACCATAGGTGCCGATAAAATTTTAAGGCATGTGGTGCCCTGAAAGGGAAGACAGCATGGTGTGATGTTCCAGCTGAGAGGCACTGGGTTTACGTGTTCTGTGTCCATAACTTGTAGTAAGTTTCTTACATGGTCAGACAAATGGAGTGTGTATAGCTACAGGTCATGCAATTGTAAAATCTGACACTAGGAGAACCAAACAATGGTCAACACACAGTCCTCCTTTTGTAGGTTAGCAAGTGAGAGATATTTGAAAGTGACTTGGCCAAACACACCTGCTAGTTAGGACAGAGCCAAGCCACCTAGGTATCATATCTGCTGGCACCCTGTCCATGCTCCCACAACTCCATACTACTCTACTGTTATTATTCACTCAGAAGAAAAAAAAAGTATGCACACACACACACACACACACACACACACACATATGTATATGTATATATACATCTAAAAAGAAAAAAAATAACAAACCCAAAGTGATATGTGCAAAAAGTATGCAGGTAATGGAAAAAATAGCTAAATTCAGAGACAAATGTTAAAAATAATAAGTTAAATTTACATTAATGTGACTGTGATCTATCAAGAAATTACTTAGAAAAGACCAAGGAATATAGTTACAAATATGTAAATCAAAACTGGAGAATTTTATCAGTACTTTAATTATATATATTTTAGAACTCAACTAAATAAAAATGTAGAGTGCATTCCATGTAAAGGGTGTGGCAAAAATTAATGACATTATTTAATCAAATTAAAAAGATAGAATTTTGGTCTCAGTGTTCATCACCATTTAATTAGATTTTTAAATTAGCAAATAATTAAAAATAAGCATAATATGGTGATAATATATTAGGTATTTTTAAAATTGATAAATTCTTAAGGAAAAAGTGAGAGAAACAGCTATAATAAATGCATGGCTTGAATAACAATGAATACTTGGAGAATATAGTTTCACATAGCTCTTTTACTTAGTTTTAGATGTGAGAAATCTTCTTTAATATGGCACATCTTCAAAGCAAAACAGATTCCATTTGTGAGAATTGCTAATTGGTAACTTCAAGTTCTAGAGTCTTTTTCTTTATAAGGGTTTGCCTGAAAAATTATTAAACTAAGTAAAACTTCATAAATTTTGAATATTCTGCTGTTCTTGGTCTATACAAATGCAAATCCTATATGGTTCAACTTAATCAAACAACACATTACTGAAATAAATGTATCAAGTACTGTCTAAGAGCTTGTAATGAAAGCAGCCATCTCCACCTTGGTCCTGTTTACCTCTAACCCATGCCCTATGGAGGACCACCTTCATTGTTTTCAAACAAAACTGAGTTTATTTATTTGCCAAGCAAGGAAATAAAAAAAATTCAGAGTAATTGCTGAGGAAGGAAAGTCTGAATTTTTAGCACTACAAAAAGTGTGGGTGGAGGGAGTGGAGGGATGGAGGTGATGGCAATAGATGGCAGTTATTCCAACTAAGGCTTGAAAACTGGCATTTCAGGTAGAATGGGATGACTTCTGTGGATCCCACTGTAGTGAAACAGTATTTGGTTTTGACATCTTCCAGGTGGGTGCAAGCAGGTGTAAATGGAAAAGTCTCTTTTCACAAGAGCTTCTGGATTTAGAAAAGGATTTTCTAAAGCTGACTTAATGTCTTACGAAGGATCTGAACCAAACCCAATTCTCCCGAGGGTCCCTATTGATGTGGTCTAAATTTGGTGAGCCACTGGCTTGGCAGTGAACAGTTTCCACACTAGCCATGAGCTCCTAGAATATTCACAAAAGCCCCTGGATCTGCATACTTTCCTCGTGAGGAACCTTGGCCGGTTAGACTACGGCTTGGCTCAACATATGCCAATCTTCCCAGAGAGAACAGAACCATGTGGTGTTTGTTTGTTTGTTTTTGTTTTGAGACGGTCTCACTCTGCAATCCCAGTTTACTGCAGCCTCGACCTCCCCAGCTCAGGTGATCTTCCCACCTCAGCCTCTCAAGTACCTGGGACTATAGGTGGATGCAGGTACAATTTTTGTATTTTATGTAGAGACAGGATCTCACTATGTTCTCCAGGTTGATCTCGAATTCTTGAGTTCAAGCAATCTGCCTGCCTGGGCCTCCCAAAGTGCTGGGATTACAGGCATGAGCCAGTGTATCCAGTCAGTGGGCATTTGATAGGTGGTATATTTTTTGTTATATACAACTTGGGATATGTATAATTTCTTGATAGTTTCTTTAGAGTTAATTTCTCCTTCCCTTACTACTTGAAGTATTTTATACTTTATTCTTCAATGAGCCCTTCAAAAGTGACTCACACTCTCTTATGACATTTAGCTCCATAGAGAAATCAGCCACCTCTCAGGACTGCTGGATGATTTTGCTTCTTATAGGAAGGTCTTGAAATACACTGTACTCAATTATTTTGATTTCACTGGAGAAAAGGTTATATTACTTCAGATTCTCAGCACTATCGTAGGTTGTCGTTTTCACTTTTTTTGTTATCTAATTGAATATAGTCAATTTGTTACCAGTATACTTTGCAACCCCAATGGAGAGAGATGCAATATTTGTATCAAATCTTTATAATTTTTATTTTTGGCTCAAATCTTTGCTTAGAACCTCCAGCACAATTTTTCCCCATTTTATAAATTGTGGTAAAATACATATAACATGCACATTAACCATTTCAAGTGTAAAATAATGTATTAATAAATATATTAATAATGCTTATGCAACCATCACCATCAGCCATCCCCCTGACTCTTTTCACCTTGGAAAACTGAAAATTATATCAATTAAACAATAACATCCCATTCCTCTCTTCCCAAAGCCCAGTAACCACCATTCTATTTTATGTCTCTATGATTCTGTCTGCTCTGAGTATCTCACTTAAGTGAAATCAAATGGTTTTTGTGTTTTTGCAACTGCCTTCTTTCACCTAGTGCAATGTCCTGACAGTTCACTCATGTTGTAGCATGTCAGCAATTTTAATCTATTCGCATATTTGGATCTAAAGTATTCTCTTATATACCACATGTAATCGGATCACGCTGTTGTTGTTTTTTAATATCTATTCTGTTGATCTCTGTCTTGATCAGAGAATTTAATCCATTTACAGTTCAAGTAATTACTGATAAGGGGGGACTGACTTCTGTCATTTTGTTGTTTGTTTCAATTATGCATTATAGTTTTTTTCCCTTATTTTCTGCATTACTGTCTTCTTTTGTGTTTAGCTGAGTTTTATAGTAAAACATTTAAATTTCCTTCTCATTTTCTTTTGCATATATTGTATAGCTATTTTACCTGTGGTTCCCATGGGGATTACATTAAATATTCTAAAGTTATAACAGTATTAGAATTTATACCAGCTTAACTTCAATGGCATACAGAAATTCTGCTCTTTATAACTCTGTTCCCAACACTTTCCTTTGTTGATGTCACAAAATTATATTTTTATTTCTTCTGTGACCAAAAATATAAACTAATAATTACTTTTACCTGCTTAAATCTGCCTTTGAGTCCCTCTGGTGAATTGTTTTTTTTTTTTGTTTGTTTGTTTTTTTGAGACGGAGTCTCGCTCTGTCCCCCAGGCTGGAGTGCAGTGGCGCGATCTCGGCTCACTGCAAGCTCCGCCTCCGGGGTTCACGCCATTCTCCTGCCTCAGCCTCCCGAGCAGCTGGGACTACAGGCTCCGCCACCACACCAGGCTAATTTTTTGTATTTTTAGTAGAGATGGGGTTTCACCATGTTAGCCAGGATGGTCTCAATCTCCTGACCTCGTGATCCTCCCGCCTCGGCCTCCCAAAGTGCTGGGATTACAGGCGTCAGCCACTGCGCCCGCGCCCTCTGGTGAATTATTTCAGTTATTGTATTTTTCAGCTCCAGAATTTTTTGTTTGTTTCTTTTTAGGTTGTCTTCTGTAGAAAAAAAATTGATATTTTCATTTTGTTTACACAGTTTTCTTGATGTTTTCACATCTTCCTTCCTTTCTTTGAGCATCTTTAAAGTAATTTTTTAAAAGTCTTTGTCTATTAGATCTTTCATTAAGTCTTTTTCAGGGACAGTTTCTATTGATTAATTTTTTCCTTTGAATGAGCCACACCTTATTTTTTTGTATGCCTTGTGAATTTTTTTGTTGAAAAATGGACATTTGCATCTAAAATTGTGATAACTAAAAATCAAATTCTCCCTTTTCCCTATTTTTTTAATGTTTTTTAAGTGATTTTCTTTTTCCTGTTTTCATCGTTGTAAGTTCTCTCTGTGCTGAAGATCAGCCTGAGGTGTAAACTTAGGGTCTTCTCAGGTTTTTTTCTGAGTCTTAGATCACTTTCTAATTTTTCCCATATATGCAGTTGCTTTTGTACTAACCTGTAATGTCTCGCCAGACTTTTTAAATTCCGTGGAAGTCACTTCAGCTGGAGTGGGAGGGGCCTGCCACCATAGGGGAAGGTTAAACAACAATGACCACTTTGTCTGCACCTCTTTGATTAGAAGCAGCAATAGATGAGCAGAGCACAGATCCTTGATATTTGGAGGACAGGGTCTATTTGCCTACCCTGGTTTCCACAAGCTGCGTGCAGAAACACGTGTGCAGCTGCCTGCCGTGGGGCTAGCTGGGATGAGTAGCTGCTACTCTGTTGTGAGCTGTAAATTAACCACACTTTAATGCCCGCGCTTTTCCCTGGAAGTTGGAAACCTTCAATGGCCTCCAGAGTTCCAAAATAGTTACATCAAACAGATTCTGCCATGAAAGTGTTGTCTCTGTGGGGAGGAGCCCTGGTGTTCCCTCGTGTCGTCTTCCCAGAATCATCCCAGGCATCACTCCTACGTATTTCTGGTTTTCATTTTGGTGAATAAAGAATCCCCTTACATTGCTAAATCATATGCTTCGCCTACATTTTTTGTCTATGTAATGTATAGAGAGTCTATTGAGGTTTTGCTGTGATAAATGTGGATTTAGCTGTTGTAGTTTTATATGTATATAAATACATAAAATGCAACATATTTTATATATAAATATATAAAATGCAACATATTTTATATATAAATATATAAAATGCAACATATTTTATATATAAATATATAAAATGCAACATATTTTATATATAAATATATAAAATGCAACATATTTTGGCTTATAATGCAATATGTTATGGCCATATAAAATTATATATATTAACTATAATATTATATATTATATATATATATATTATATATATTAACTATAATAATCATATATTAATATGATTAATCATATATTAATCATATATTAATCATATGTTAATTTATATATAATATATATGATATATTATATATATATCATATATATTATATATAATATATATATATAATATTATATGATTATATGATATAATGTATGATTAATATATAATTAATCATATATTAATTAATGTATGATTAATATATTATATTAATATTAATATATAATATTGGTAAATATAATATTAATATATAATATTAGTATATAATATAACATATTAATATATGATTATTATATTACATAGAATGTCATATATTATATATTACAATGAAATATATAATGTCTATATTAAATTATATATAATTAATATTATATATTCTAGTAAATTATATATATAATTTTATATAGCCATAATATGTTGCATTACAATGTATATAAAATGTGTATTATATAACACTTATATACATACAGATGTATGTGTGTAAATACACATATAGAGCCCTTCATTATTTCCTCTGTCATTACCTTTTCACTTAAATTTTAAATCTTTAAACAATTTCTCCAGACTTCACACTCTGTAAAGCAAAGACCTGACATTTCCTACGTACACCGTCATCTCTCCTCCCTAGATTCCACCCTTGACTTCCATCATATCTACTTCAGATTTATAATAAACTTTCGATTGTAGAACAGATTTAGATTTACTGAAAAACTTAGGTACTTCAGAAAATTTACCCCTGAAAAATTGTGGGAAATTCTTTAGTCATTACTCTATCAAATAGAAGAGTGATTAAAAGTTCAAGCTCCAGAGTGACTGATGGTCCAAGCTCGGCAGGCAGACATTTAGAGTTCAAATCATGCTTTTATGATTTAAGAACACCATGACCTTGGTAAAGTTACTTGACTTTCTGATGCCTCAGTCTCTTTATACTTAAAATGGGAACAATAATTTCACAAATATTATATGATTATAGGCTTATAAATATTTATAAACATTATAGGATTATTAAAGAGTTAAAACATTTATAACACTTAGACCAGTACCTTTAAACTGGTGAATATGTATATATTAGACTTTGCTGGATTATTACCTATCTTTCAGTCTCTATTCTAACTTTCTGGGACATTGATTATTGTTATTGCACTGTTATCAATGTTGATTATGTTAAACCTTGCTGTTTTATCTTTTCTATCTCAATTTATCTTTCATTATTTCCTTACCTTGTCCACCTATTATTATGAGTAATTTTTTTTCCTGATATATCTTCCAGCTCATTGATTTACTTCTTGGCTGATTTGAATCTGATGTCTTAAACATCCATTATTTTTGTTAGTTTGTTTTTATCTGCAACATCTGTACTTGTAAAATTGTAGATTAAATAAGTTCTAAAACAAATAAATTATTTAACAAATAAGATTATTTTTCAAATCTACTTAACCACTTTTTGAAAAAAATTTTTGAGACAACATCTCATTCTGTCACCCACGCTGGAGTACGGTGGCGCAATTTGAGCTCATTGCAACCTCTGCCTCCCAGGCTCAAGCTATCCTCCGCCTCAACCTTCTGAAGAGCTGAGACTACAGGTGTGTGCCACCATGCCTGGCTAGTTAATGTATTATTGTAGAGGTGGGGTTTCCCCATGTTGCCCAGGCTGGTCTCAAACTTGTGAGGTCAAGTGATCCGCTCGCGTTGGCCTCCCAAAATGCTGGGATTACAGGCATGAGCCACTGCACCTAGCCTCTACTTAACCACTTTTTCTAATGCATTATGGCTTGCTTATCTTTAATCCTATCTTTTATATCCTGAATTATTATTTTTTTTGTAAACTATTTGGGATTATTCAGTTCCCTGAAGTACAAGAAGGTCTAATTTGTTGTTGCCAATTTGTCCTTATTTTCTCTGGATTTCTGCTTGCCCTCATATATGATGGCATCATCCTTTGGTTATTATTATTATTTACCTTAATCCTGTGTACTGAATTGAGGCTTCACTTACACAGATAATATTTACTTATTTTTTCAGGCACTGAAAGAGAGTAACAACCTGGTATTATCTAAATTGAAACACCCTACTTGGGTTCCCATAACCAAACTGAGATCATACATTTGAAGTCAAGACAGAATCACAGAGATCTATCATTCCAGATTCTCAAAGGATGCTGTTTTTCTTGTTATTACTGAATTTCCTAACCAGTCCCATTTCCTTCTCAGTTCCTTTCTCTGCAAGCAGTCGGTGTTCTAAGCTGTCACAAGAGATGTGTCCCATCAAGAGTTTCTGAGAGCCTTTGCGTTGCCGTGGCCGCCAGCTGTGAACGCCGATCATAACGTCATGTTCCTATTTGCCATCAGTTGCAAACCTCAAATATTCTGCCTTTTCATTTGTTCTCAGGAAAAGGTATAGGAAAATATTTTGTTTAGAAATATAATCTATCATACTGCCAGAAATAATGCCCCACTTTAATTTTAAACTGCATGATATTATTAATCATATTGTCATTTTATACAGTCGATGCTTATTTACATTTATATGTGTGTTTACCACCATCTTTTTTTGTGACTTTCATTTCCACATCTCATTTTCTTCCTTCTAAGGAACAACTGCTTTCCCTGTAATTACCTTCCTTATTTTTACTTTGATTTGGAGTCTATGTGTGATAAACACTCTGAATCTTTGAATACACATTGATTTTATCTTTAGTTATAAGTTAAAAAATTATTTTATTGTGGAAATCTAAGTAGATAGCTATTTTTCTTTACAACTTAAAAATGTTCTTCACTGTATTCTAGCCTCTATTTTTGTTGATGAGAAGACAACTACAAGTTGAATTGTTTAATAATCAGTCTTTTCTCTTTGCTCGCATTTATGGTTTTCTTCTAACTTGATGTTCTGCAGTTTACTACAATATATCTGGGAATATGTTTAATTTTGCTCTTCTTGCTTAGTCAGTCGACGTGCTTCTAAAATCCAAGGAACTGCTAGTTTTGCTCTCTAGATAGAGGAAAGGGAAGAGGATGAAGAGGAGAAAGGGGGCCATGCCAGAAAAAGCATTTGTTTTTAACAAGAAAACAAGATCATTTTCCAAAACCTCATTCAGTCATTCTTCAGTTAGCTGTCACTGGCCACGAGTTGTTACTATGACAGACAGAATCGAACTGGAAGTAAGTTAAGTATTTGTATGTGGCTATTCTACTAGTCAGGATTCTCCAAAGAAACAGAACAAATAGGATGTGTACATACATATAGACATAGACATACACGTAGACATAAACACAGGTACAGTCATAGACATAGGCATATAGACATAGACGCACACATAGACACAGGCATACTTATACACAGAGACATACAAATATATATACACATACAGACACAGACATGGACATGGTCATACATATAGATATAGGCACACATAGCTATAGACATACAAATAGATATACACATATACATACACAAAGAGACATAGACACATAGGCATAGACATACAGACACACACACACATACACAGAGACATACAAATACACATAGACATAGACATGTACGTAGACACAGACAACATATACATACGGACTAGACATACACATAGACATATACATAGAGACATAGATATTGACATACATACACATAGACAGGTAATATACGTAGACATATGCGTATACAGACATAATAGACATAGACATAGGTATAGATAGAGACATAGGCATAGACTAGACATAGACATGTACGCATACACATGTACAATGAGAGAAAGGAAATTTTAAGAAATTAGTTCATGCAATTTTGGAGACTGGCAGGTCTGAAATCTGCACATAAAATTAACTGTCACAGGCACATTGTTTTCACGCACAAAAAAAATCCATATTTTTTGGCATGGAAGAAGGAAATACACTTATCGGGTTGGCAACCGGCAGAGCGTGCACATTTACCCAATCAGTTAGAGGCAGGGCAGAATGTCCTGTGGCTCAGGCAGATGAACAAAAGATGTCTAATCTCTTCTACACTCAAAATGGAACACAGGCAATACCACACGGACTGAAATGTAAGTGTCAAGAATAGCCTGGGCCTACTGTCTCAAGGGAGGCTTAAAACTGGCAAGTACTTTGGAGTTCTACATCTGTCTTAATGAAATGTTTGCTATACATTGCATACTTTTCTGGACACGGAGCAAAAGGGTTGAAGATTTCATGCAGAATTGTTCCTATAGGGCATTGCAACTTGAAGCTGTATACAAAATTGTAACAGTCTTAGTTCGCTTCAGTTTGGAGAGATAAAAGTAGGCTTGACTTTGGCCAATGCTGATACTGCTTTAGCTTGGTCAGTTTTCAGAAGATGGGGCTTCATGTTCAGAGACATTTGGTATTTTTGCAAGCATGAAGTTATGCATGCATGTGTGTGTGTGTGAAGATGATTAAATGTTATGCTAAGATATCCTCCCTGGCTGTCAGGAGCAGGTAGGAGGATCCCATTATCTAAAGTGCAACATACAGATGAGTTTCCCTCATTCATGTTGCAGAAGAATGAAATCTAGGCTCTGTGGGTGAAGTGAGGCTTTGGTTGAGATAGATTTGAAAATTAGTCATATGCAGAAAAATCATCAATCACACTTGAGATCTGACGTTTCACATATTCATTCAGGAAGGACTGGAGGATGCAAACAAAGTAACAAAATGGATTACGAGGCGCGAGCCTGGTCACCAACACCTTCTAATAAAAAGTAATAACCAACATGACATATAGGCCATTGTCAGGAAACTCACTCTCAGCCGCCCAAGATCCTTGCTTATAAGCCACAGACTTGGAGAACAGGGGTCCCGTTATGATGCCAAAAATGTCCCGCTCTTGTTTCCTAAGAAATAGTATTAAGCAAGCTGACTTTAATTTGTAAAATATGCGATCTAGTTCCAGTAACATAACTGACATTTTGATATATAACTCTGTCTTCATATGTGCTTGTACTTGTATGTGTATGCAAATATTCATACATGTATATATATATTTATGTACAAATACATCTATAGGTATGTTTATGTATAAGTGCGTCTATATATGTATGTTTGTATATATATGTGTGTGTACACACATACACACAAATTTCTCCTAAAAAAAAGGCAACATCAACGGGTCAACTGTTGTCAAATATTTTAATTATTTATTTGCAAAATGTAATACAAAATAATTGAATACATTTTAGTAAATACACTTCTTTAATATAAAGGCTATATCTAAAGAAACACTGAATACAACACCCCAAGCTATTTTATCTGTATTTTAAAGCATTCAAATTGTATACCCCATTCCATGGCCTTCCATTTATGAAAACCGCATGCATTAGATATTATTTAGTAGCTTCCTCCCTGTTCTACAGAGACGATTAAGGGGTGAACAAGCCAGAAATAGTTCCTGCCTTATGGAGCTTTTATTCTAGAAAAATATATTGTTTACATATTATATTGTTTGATTTCTTTCCACTATATTTTTATTTCTGTCACAAATTTCTATCCTTGGTCTTCACCTCCTTGCTCCTGTATCTAGAACAATGTCTGGCACGCATCGAGTGCTGCAAATGAACAGGTGTTAAACAAAACAAAAGGCTTGGGCAAGGAATTTGGATGCGGTCAGATTCCTCTAAGGAGCTCATCGGGAGCTCAACCTGGTCCATTGAGGGGAAAAGGTCCCTGATGAAGTTCAGCTGTGCAACCAAAATGAAATCAAGTACCTTTCCTTCCTAAAGCTCATGTAGGAAAAAGGATTTAATTCAGAAGTTGCTGCTTCAATCCCCAATCTATCACCAAATGGCTCCATGTTATTTAACATCTCAACACCTGAACTCCTTCATCAGCAAAAGTTCCTTGCTCAAGGTTAAGAAATAATTGTTTTTTAAAGTATCATCTATGCAGCGTTTACCACAAACTAAACCTTAAGAAATAATAGTTCGCTTTTAAAATTATATTAACGTAATTTTAAATTGTTATTTTCTCTCTCAGCAGGTAAACTCACCAGAAGATTTTGCTAAAAATATGGTAACAGTAACTAGAACTCTTGCTATTTTTTCATCCCCGCAAAAGCAAGGTTCTCATGGTTCAGGGAAAGCCTGGGTTTTGGGAGTCAATGAGCAATGTTCTGTAAATTCAACAAGAACTCCGTGTAAACATGAAGCAAGTCCTCTTTTAATAAAAGTGTGTTCTGGAGATAAGATAATGGGAATAACAGCAAACTGATTGTAAGACCCCAAGCTTGAATGCAAATGCTAATATAACTTGTGAATTAAATAATGACATTCAAAATTTTGTTTGTTTTGCTCTAGAATATACTCATCTCAAATAAAATCTTGAGGAAAGTGAAAAACTTGTACGTAAAGCTGGAAAAGACCAGGGAGAAGTGAAAAGTCGTTCTGGAAAAGCGGTTCTGGAGCCTGGTAGTGGCCTCCAGTGGTGTGCGGGACAGGGCGGTCAGCTTGGGAGGACAGGTGGTCAGGCGCTGAGGACTTCGAGCTGCTTGGTGTCGGGCTGGTGCCTTGATGTTGGTCAAGCTGCCAATATTGACTGTGGAAATCGGCACATACCACAGAGAAGGACTGTTTTCCCCCAGAGAACTAAGTGTTAAACATTTTCACCAACAAACCAGTACAGATTTGCAACAAGGGCTTAACCTCTCTGGGGTTCAAACACTACTTGTGAACAATAAGGTAAGAACAGGCTGCTGTGAGAACTGTGTCATTGCATGCAGACAACCTGCAGGTGTAAGCTCACAGTAAATGTGCATTCTCTTTATTGGGAAAACCGTTAGGACATGGAGCTAGTTCTTGGGCTGACTCAGAAAACCATGTGTGAGGCGGCATGGCCCCACCTTCCCTGCTGAGCCCCGGGTGTGTAAACATTTGTAGAATAATATGCCATCGTGGAGCTTTGCATTCTAAAATGATCTTCAAATGAATTTTTTTAACTTTCTGAAATGCTCAAGACTCAAAAAATGCTTATTCATTCACCACCCAAAAGATACAGGCTGACTCCACCCAGTGCATGTTCCAAAGCTTTGTCCAATGTGTCTTTCTGAATTTTTATCTGAATAACCTGAATCCTGTATTCTGCGAGCCCGTCTCCTGCCTCTCACAAATATCACTCTAATTTCTTTATATTTCATATTCTTTTATAATTCCTTATAAGCACAACAGCAAGGGAATCGCAATAACTCTACATGAACACGGAGTTTGCGCAAGAAATTTTCCACGTATCGCTTTGGTCCCTACAACAGTTCTCAAAATTGCGTATTATATGTCCACATGCACTAACTGAAGAAAGGAATTTCAGAGAGATTCAATTGCCCGCATTCATGTACAACTAATAAATGAATGTGCTGGGATTCAAACCTAGCCCCTTCAAATCTCCAAAGTCCGCGTTCCTACCGACCCACCTTTCCTCCATCTGCCTGCCCGTCCATCAGTGCCCACCCGATCACCTGCTCTCAGGACACCATGAGTGGTCTCCACTGAAACACTTAGAGTCTCCCCGTGCCTTATTTCTTCAGAAGTGACCCAACGGTGCAGCTGCTGGCTCAGGAGAGGAAAGTGGATCTGGCCTGTCTGTCCTGATTTGTGTCTCTCTGAGGCCCTGGGCACAGGGCTCTGGGCTGTGGCTGATGGGCAGAGGCCCTGGAGGACGCCCAAGCTTGGTCACTGGTACTAGTGACTTAGAGGCTGCGTCCTTTGAGTTCAGAGTCTCAGTACGAGGCAGCCTTCCCTGGACACACATAGGAGCCCCTCTCTCTGGTCAGCGTCATCGGTGCAGCTGATGCTGCTCTGGGCTTCCTCACAGTGACTTCAGCAATCCTAGGACACATGTTAGCACCCACCAGTAGCACGCTTGCCCGAAACGTCTGGAGAACTTAGTTTCCACAAACCATCCATTTTCTGGTTTCATGTATTGTTTTCCCAGTGAAAATCAATGCTCAGTTTCCAGATCTGTGATCCCTGGGTCTCCCATGATCACATTGGCCTCTGTTTCCTTCCTGGCACAGTGCTTCCGTTACCATGGTTGTCCAAGATGGATCGGGTTAAACATTAGCTGCATCCACATTTCATGTGGAGTCATCTAAAATGCCTTTCAATTCTCAGCTGTTTTCTTGTGTTAGGCATCTTTTTTAACTGTTCAGGTCACCCTTTCACTCCAAGTAGCTACAGCCAAAAGTTAACTTTGTATCATGTCCATATTCCTATACAGACTAATTTTTTCACAAAGCCTGATTTTCAAAATAGTAGTCAGACAAAAGACATGGATATCCAGAAAACAGACTCTTAGCCTCTAATTTCCATTTGTTTTCTAAGCACTTGGATAAAGTGAGTAAAATTAACTTCAAATTTGAAGAAAAATTAATTTAAATAATTTTCCAAAAGGCCAAATGGAGATTGGGGATAAAGCAACCTAACCCTCTGTTTTTGTTTATCTCATTTTAAAAAATAATTCTAAGTTTCTTTCCTAACACATATGGGAGAAAAACATACGTGACTAATTACCATTTCTCTGTAAAAGTTTTCTGATTGATTCAGTTCTTTTGTTCTGGCAACAGAACTGATGAGCTCCCCACCAGGCACAGCAGAGAAGAGTGCAGAGAGAATCCTGACCTCATGCAGCTTGCATTCTGCTGGGAGTAAGGACAGTGAACCAACACAGAAATAAAAACTCAGCCAGATGTCAAGTAATGGTGAGTTTTCTGAAGAAAAATACAGCCAGGAAGAGAGAAGTTGTCTCTCAGAGGACAGCTTTAGCCAGATATTCCTTAATCATCCTCTCTGGAGAGATGACATTTGAGAAGGCTGTGGATCAAACAGAGGAATGAATTAGATGAAGACACAGAGAAAGAACTTTGACTTGAGGCAGCAACGAGCTTGGCTGCTGGAGAAAAGCAAGAAGGCCACATGGCCTGCTGGGGTGAGTGGTGGGTGAGAGGGTGAGGGGCAGCAGGAGACGGGCCCGAAGCAAGAACAGTGCCCAGACTGCTGGGCACTTTGTAATGGAAGGTGGGGGACTCTCCTGGTGTATCGGAAAGCCCCTGGGGGCTTGGAAGTGGGCACAGGGCTGCAACGTAAACGGCTGTGTAGACCAGGATCACGGGGATGGTCAGGGAGAAGAGGCGGGGAGGCTTGTAACACTGTTCACACAGAGCCGGGAGGATTCAACATCGGATGTGTCATAGATTGAGAGAGCATTAAACATGCCTGCATGAGAGTATCATTGAATCATGGTGACATTAATTAAGATATTACAAATACAGGAAGAAACAATTTTTTTGTGCAGTGTGAGGAGAATCAAGAGTAACGTTTCATGTGTATGAAGTCTGAGGTGAGTATTCAATATTTGAATGGAGATGAGAGGCAGGCGGTTGTCTAAATGAGTCCGGAATTCAGAGCAGAGGTCAGGGCTCAGACATCAATTTGGGAGTCAGAGACATATTGCTTGTATTTGACAGAGGACAGAAACTTGGCACCTCAACATGTAGGACTTCAGAACAAGAGGAAGAGCCAGACCAAGGCTGTAAGTCTGTGTCCTGTGAGATGAGAGGAACATGAGAACAGTAGTGGTCCCCAAAGCAAATGAAGAAATTGCTTCAAGGAGGGGAGACTCAGTTTGTCAAAAGCTACTGAGACATCCATGTAAATGACGTTTGAGGCTTGGCCATTTTCTGCGGGAGACTGGGGTAAAAGAAAACATTAGAGAAGTTTAGAGAGAGAGAGAGTTGTCAGAGAATGAGAGATGTATTAGGTAACTGAAGTAAATGCCCTTCTTTCCATCTTTGCATCATGTGGTAACAATTACTAAACAAGTGTAATGCTGTGCTTTGGACGAAAGAGCAGAAAGACCAAAGGCTCCCGGATCCATAAATGTCTTTTCAAGATGTGACGGGTGCCCATTTCTAGACTTCTGTTTGCTGAGCCCACTGTTCATTAGGTCTCATGGATTTTCAGCCAAACACAATTTCTAGGTGATATGACTAGATTTCATCAACAGATAATTTCCCTCATGCCAAGAGATAGATTACATAAGCTTCCACTGGCCTTTTATATTTAGAGACACCTGTTGCTTTTAGATTTGAATGGCATTATGATTCAATGTAATATTCTTAGTTCAACTTGTCATTTCTCATAACTTTGCAGATATTGTTTCCTTTCCTTTGGTGATAGAGAATTCTAAGATCAACCTGACATTTTCTCGTGTAGTTAATTTGATTTTTTTTCTATCTGGATGCCTAAAAATGATTTCCTTATCCTTGCAGTTCATAAAATAAGGTGTGCTTCTGTAGTATACATTTTGTAAGTGGTGGATATTTCTTGGAAAATGATCTATTTTCTGATAGGTAGAGACAGTTCTTTATTAACTTCAGAGAATTTCTCATATCTTTGAATATATTTTCTGAATGACAATTTGGTATCTCTGTTTCAGAATAGTGATTATCTTTTTGTGAGATGTTCTTTATCTCCTATCTATTTGCCTTACTATTTGATTTTAATTTCTATATTTTTGGTTTTCATTCATTGAAACTATTTAATTGTAGTTACGTTTACTCTGTTCCTGTTGGCAATGTATTTGTTTGTTTTATAATTAGATGGCCTTAATATTCAATTTATTTCTATAAGTTTAAAAGTTTCCTTTTAATCTCTTTCTCTTGCTTTGTCAACGTGTTTCTGCATCATTTTTAATTGATTCTTGAATCCACATTCTTATCAAGCTTTTCTATAAACCAATCTCAAGGCTATATCTAGTGTTTTCTTATAAAGTAAACATTGTGTGTATTTTTCTTTTCTGACCTTTCACCTGCAGACTTTTTTATATTGCTGTCATGAAATTCCTTTTCATGTGGCTTAAGCATAGAATGTTCTGTCTGGGGTTTTACTTCCTTCCATGCAGCATTGATGGCACTTTACAATTACCTTTCCCCCCACTATATCTGAGAACAGGTTTTATTTTGTATCTGCCTTTCCCTCCTCTAAGGTACTGTGTGAGAGCTAGAATGTTGGCTTCATCCACGCTCGGTAGCTGAAGGGGTTCAGGGGGTGAGAGGGGAGCTGCCTTTGCTAGTAAGCCTGTGCTCTGTGGCCTCTGGGTTTCCTCGACATCTATGCCAGGGCTGCTGAGCCCACCTGGGCAGACCTCACCCTCTGGTGGTGAAAGACACCCACAGGCCTGGGCCACTTCTTCCCGTGATGTGCAGTCCTGAAGGCCACGTTTATCCAGGGGAGAATTGGCTCACTTGTTCACCTTCCTCATTTTGCCCATTTCTATTTAAAAGCTGTTTCCCAGCTTCTAAGACACCCATTTCACTTGCTGTTTTTCAGAGTGGGGATGTAAGAATTTACAGGAAGTCTCAAATTGGTGACAGATGAATTCTGTGGGGCAGGGGCAAAAAAGGAGGCCAGCCTTGCTGTTGGGGTTTTAGGTAGAATGTCATTAACATTTCCCACCAAACACAGAGTGTCTGGTTCACCTGCCACGAATTAAATTGGGGCAAGAGTCTCCAATGTAAAGATGTGGTCCTGGTTCCTGTGCTTCAGTAGAAACCTAAACCCAGGTCTCCGGGTGACTTGTAACTCTTGCATTTGAGTTTTTGTTGTTTCAGAAAAGTTCCAGGAAGAAGCTCAGCCCTAGGAGAATACAAACCGATTGGATCAGGAGACCCCTGAGTTGGAGATGAACATTGGTAAACTCCCCTCATTGCCGTGGTGAACTCCCCTCGTCGCCGTGGTGAACTCCCCTCACTATCGTGGTGAACTCCCCTCATCACTGTGGTGAACTCCCCTCATTACCATTCTAAAAACCTGGCCCAGGGAAGAGCTTCTCTGCCATGTTCTACACATTCGATGCATGAAGAGGCATGATCGGTGATGGCCTCCCCTGCCTCCGCTCCACCTCTGCACGTGGTGACTCAGCTCACAAGCCCAGGAGAAGCCCTGTGTCACCGTGTTCGGGAGGCGCTGTTTTGGGAGCTCTCCCTGGTGTTCTCCTGACTTGTTACAAGTGATACAATCCCCTTGTTAAAGCCTCCTTGGTTGTGGTGACTGGCTTGTCGCTCGCCAAGCTATCGAACCCACCTGTTGTGTGGGCAACAGAAATAATTATCAGGACCCGTGTGGGTTGTACTAAACAGAAGCGCAGCCAGAAATGATGAACCTATGGCACCCACCACTACTTCTCCTCTCCATGTGTGGTGCTTTTAAAAGAAGTCCACACGTTTCTTGACATCCCTCTGCCCATCAACTGCTGGGGAGTGTCCTCCCCTTGAATATGGGCTGAACGTAGGCATTGGACCGCCATTGGCAGATGGTGTAAATACGTGATGTGACTTCCCTGGCAAGCTCATCAAAGGCAAGTGCAGGCTCTACCTGGTTTGCTGGAATGCTGGCGCCGGAGCCTGAGTTGGTGAGAGGTCTCACCCACCTGAGCCTCCGTGCTGCGAGAAAATCAAGATTAGCTATGCAGAGTAGACGCATTGAGAGGCATCAGGGCCTCAAGAAAAGAGTGAGGCTGGCCGGTCCCATGTGCCTGAGAGCTCTCTGTCTGCTCCTGCTACCATCCAGCCGCATGAGAGACCTTCTGCAAGGACAGCACAGTGAAGGCATTCCTACATTTTCTATTCTTAGACACCACAAGGGATAATAATCGACACTATTTTAAGCCACTATATTTTTTGGCAGCCACAGATCATTAGATTCCATTAATTCACTGACACTGGGCCCCTGTGGCTGCTGTGTCTCCCAGTGTCCCTCAACACCTGACCAAGCAGCCATTGTCAACTCTCTGGAGTTACTCAGGGCAAAGCTTTTCAACCATCCCTAAATGAAGCTGTTATGGAGGTGGGTCTGGGGTTGCAGACTGTGGAAGTCTGTGGCTTCGCTGGGGTGCACAGGTAAAGACCACAGTCACCGGGGTCTTAGCTGATGAGAGCAGAGCACACAATGGTCAATGCCCCAATCCCCAGCAGCCAGGTGCACCTGCCCAGCACCCGCCCAGCACCCACCCAGCACCCGCCCAGCACCCGCCCAGCACCCACCCAGCACCTGGAAGGCTTCAAACAGGTTCCAACATTTCTATTGTGTTTGGTATTTCATAGTATGATAATTGATAATTGCCATATTTGACAATTCGTATTAAGAATTTCTGGCTGGGTCTGGTGGCTCATGCCCGTAATCCCAGCACTTTGGGAGTCCGAGGCAGGTGGATCACCTGAGGTCAGGAGTTCGAGACCAGCCTGGCCAACATGGAGAAACCCTGTCTCTACTAAAGATACAAAAATTAGCCGGGCATGGTGGTGCACACCTGGGTGTAATCCCAGCTACTAGAGGGGAGCTGAGGCAGGAGAATTGCTTGAACCCGGGAGGTGGAGGTTGCAGTGAGCCGAGATTGTGCCACCATACTCCAGCCTGGGCAACAAGAGAGAGACTCTGTCTCAAAAAAAAAAAAATTCTACGTGTAACATGCCATTAAAGAGTTTTGAAACCATTGAGTTATAGCAAAACTCACATGCACACACACACACGCTCTACTTTAAAAGGCAAAGACCAACAGCTGTTTTTTTAGCCCTACGTGTCTCACTCCGTGATAATCGCAACTCTACATGCTCAATTATTAGAGGTCTTTAAAATATGTAATTGGCTGACAGAGGTGAACTAGCTACACACATATGGAATAATCGTTTGGAATTCATCAACAATAAAATAATAAAAACCGAAGACATTTCCAATTTTATAAAGACAGATAATTGTCAAAAGTAAAAGAAGGAAAATAACAAACAAACTTCTAAAGTCTATGCTCAGTTGGTGTTACCAACCAGCAGTGTGCATTTCTGATATGGAATTTGTTTTGTTTTGTTTGTTTTGCTTTTTAGTCTCAATCAATTATAAATCCCAAAGGTAAAAAACTGTTCTGAATTTGCTCCAAACCATCACTGCTGTCCACTGAAGAAGTTAAAGCAGAACAAATTGTTATTAGATACAAGTGAGGAAAATTCCTGGAAGAGTCCTTACAATTTTAGGGATACCTATTAAAAAGGAAGAGAATGACATTGACTAGCTGAAGCCAGAGGTGCGGCAGTTTTATTTTGGAAAGAGTAGGTTGTCTTTAAATATGAAAGCTTAATGGTATGCAGCCTGTCGTCTGCTATATGAAAAAGCCCATCAAGATGATGGGAATGTGTCTTAATAGGACTTGATAGAAGTATACAAAGCGGTTCCACATTTTGGTCACTCCACAGAAAGACATGCAGTTTAGTTCATCTTAAAGCAGTTAATGTTCTTAATAATTGCTTTGTTTTAGACTGCCTTTATGCGTTTGCTCAACACAATTGTTCTGTGCATACAGAGAGACGGGGGCATTTCAGAGCGTTACTTACAATTATTAATAAACTATTTGGCTACTGAATATTCACACTGTGTAGCTTTTCAACTCTGCATACAAGGGCTGTCTATTGAAACTGCCACGGAGCCCCGGTGCACAGCTGGAGAGGAAAGCAGGCTTTTACACACCGGCCAGATCAATGCCCTGACAAAGTGGGAGAAGAATTGGGAGAGTGCTCTTGATATGTTGCCCTCTGTATACTGGGAGGCAGGGTGTCCACCAGGACGTATTGATCAGCCGTGCCGTATGGATTCAAAGGTCTTCAGCGGCGCTTATGATATTTTACACCACATTAACTGTCGAGATGGTGTGCTACGGCAGCCCTTTGCAAAACACAGGAGGGCCTCAAATAGCTGCAATTAAGCCCTCCAGAGAGCAGGTGCCCCCACCCGGGAGCATACAGTATTCCAGGGAAGCGGGGAGAGGCCAAGAAAACCAATACTCGTCAGAGCTGCGGAGCGATCCTGCCCATCGGTTCCAGGCTGTCAGCACTTTCCTCCGCCGCAGCTTTTCATAATCCTCAGCATATGCTCTTTGTTTTGATAGGCATGAAATTACATCAAGGTCATTTTTAATAACTGTCAATAGCTTGAGAGCAGCCGTCAGTTTTATTGACACCTACGCTGAAGAGCTCAGGGAGCTGCAAGGAGCACGTCGCCCCTGCCTGGGAGCACCGATCCACTGGGAAACGGACGATTATTGATATTAGTAAATTAGTATTGATAGAAATTTGATGAGTAGAGTGCATCTGGGTCACTCCAGAACGTGCGAATGTCAACATCCCAGAAAGAGCCGAGGCCCAGAGCTGTAAACAGACGTGCATTTATTGTCTACGCGGGGTTCCTTTATCATTCTGTTCTTCTTCTTAAGAGACAAGCCTTTGTTTTAAATACTGGTCACTTACTCCCACTCCAAAAACCCAAAGCAGTGCTAAATACCCGCCCTTTAAATGTTATTTTCTTCTGTTTGGAGAAGAAATATTCCTTCCTCTGTACTTTATATTCTAATAGATCTCTGGAATTTTAATATATTTGCAAAGAAGATATTTGAATGGGACCTTATTTATGGAATAGGTCGTCTCTTTTACACGAAGGCCTGATGGACCCCGAAGGGTCCCCAGTGGTTTTCTGGGGACGCTCAGGCTTGGCTTGCCCAGGGGATGCTGCGGAGGTCTAGAAATCCTTTATAGATCAGGGAGGTCTCCGTATCTCAGCCCACAGACAGGCATGTTGCTTTCCAGAGTGAGCCGACGCAAGTTTCCATGGAAAATGTTGGAAAAAGGGAAGACGGAGTTTGTCAGAACAGCAGCAAGCAGCATTGCTGTGTGGTGAGCTCGTGAAGCTGTGTCCTTAGAGGAAACTCACACCAGTAAGAGAAGACAACTGTGCTGGCTTCTCACATAGGAGAGGCTGCAGATCCAGAGAAGAGAGGGATCGTGAGGAAAATTAAACTAGATACCCGGGAAAAATGAAGTCATATCGGAAGGCAGACATAAAGTCACTTACGAGTTCATTTACACAAAACGTCCAGAATACGCAGCTCCACGGTGACAGCGAGCAGGTTAGTGGAGGGCTGGACTGGGGGACGGGGATGGGATGACTGCCTACTGGGAAAAGGGCTTATTTTGGGGAGATGGAAATTCCCTAGAATTAGATTGTGGCAATGGCTGCACAGCTGCGAATATATCAAAAACACCGAATTGTACACATTGAATGGGTAAATTCTGTGATACATGAGTTATAGCTCAATTAAAGAAAATATAAACCTGGAGAAGTCCCTGGGATAGCAAAAGTGAAAATCGTGAAATGGGAGTTAAATCTATTTATTTTAATTTAAGGTACAGATTTAGTAAATCAGGGAGTTAGTGTTCCAACCATTATGCCTTGTATTTCTAATTCTGTAAATTCAGAGCAAGATAAGATAACTAGGTGAAAAAATGCCTGTAGTACCAGGCCACTCTCAAGAAGGCGGGCTAACGAGAAGAGGTGCTTTCTGTTCACACGAGGAAGCCGGCACGTGGAATGACTGCAGAGTTGCACAACCGGGCTGGGATTGCACGGGCCTCCTGCTCCTGTACAGCTCGGGTATATTTTAAACAGGTGGTCAATGAGCGACCAGGTTCACAGTGGCATTTTGAATTCTAAAACTTTTATTTCTACCAATCCCCGCGAGTCGGGTAACACGTTTATTGACCGCAGGTGGCTGCTACGGGGGCCTCATTGCCTGCCGGTTGACATTTTGTTTTCTGCGCACATCTTCTTGGACTTGTGTTTCTTACCATCCAGGTCCTCAGCACACGATCTTTCTAGTCCTAATTACACTCTAGTGATAAACCTACCCATAAACTCAGTGGCCCAAATGGTTTAACATGGGGTTATTTAGAAACATCTCTTTTAAAATATTTTCCCTCTTTGGAAAATGTACAAAGTAGATAAAATTCTACCTCTGAGGGCTGTGTCTCACTTAGGAGTCTCCACTGGCTCATGGTCTCAGGAAGTGTCCCCGGATACTATGACAGGCGAGATCTTCGCGTGCCCAGAGGGAGTCACAAGAGCATGGAGTGAGAGCAGAGCTTGGCGATGGTCATGGCTAACGTCTCCTGTTTACAAGTGAGGAGGCAGAGACCCCAAGGCAAAGACAAGCGACTTATTTGTGGAATAGAATGTGCAAATCCAGATTTTTTAAGATAGAGAAACTAGATCATAAGAATGTTCAGACTGGAGGAAAAAATGCAGATCATGCGTTCTGATGAGAAAAAGAAAAAACTAGCTTTGCCCTAGGTTCTTTCTGTGGTCCACTGAATGACACAGCTTCCAGCCTCCTGATTCTGTACTATCTTTCAAATGCCAGACACCAAAAAAATCATAATTTATAGTATGACTTCACCTGAAGAGGGAATCCAATGAAGAGAAGTTACCGTGTAAAAACACAGAGTTTACATCAAGGTACTACAGGTTTTTATACAAGTATTGAATAAACAAAATGTATGCAACAGTGTGGAGGTGAATATGAACTCTCAGTGAAAATTTTCTAAACCCTTAAGAGGATTATCAGTCAAGAAACAACATTCTATGATTCATCACGGTCTTCAGATGTGACCAACAGCATTGTCTCAAACATTTCTTCCTGCAGACTGGAGGTTAAACATCATCAGAGAGAGAATTTATCGTGAGGATTTTACTGGTTCTTTGTCAGAGGTACTTTCTGAGAAGGTATTTTGAGAAGCATACATTCAACTTAGTGAAGATGACTCTGATGTTTCTTGAAATTGTCACCAGCAGAATCTACTTACAACTCTGCTACCAACTGATTCAGAAAGTGTGTTTAAATGATTAGCAAAGAAAATCCCCATGTGATTACGTCCTAAGATTTTGGCCATTTTTCCTAGATCTTCTAACAACTTTAGCACGGTCATAATTTATGACCAAAACAAAGGATGTAAAAAAAGATGACAAAAATAAAGAAAAATATAAACAAACTGGTGAGTAAACATCTAATACCAATTCTCTCAAATAGGTTCAATTGTATGGAATATGAAAACAATCTGTTTTGGCACAGCATTTAGCATAATCCTCGTTAAAAAGAGAATATTTTGAATAATAAATTTCAAATTATTTCCTCATACATGTCCATATGCGTAATAAACGAGTATTTTAGTTCCTGTCTAATTATCTAGATTGGTGCAGAATTTTTTTTAAAAAAAAATATGCCAGTTTTAATTGCAAAAGTGCTGCCGGCTTCAGATTTTAATTGCAATTCACAAATGGTTGGACTGGCAGTGCTCCATTACAAAGAAAAAATCATTTTAATAGCAGAAGTACTGCCTCGCTGCAGATTTCAATTTCATTTTACAAGATACTGGGTCATTCAGCGTCATTACAAGGAATAAAATAGCTGGTGTGAACCTCCGAGGTGTTGGCTGGGTCATGATACTGCCTCATGTGCTGCATGGAGGCTGCCTTGAACTTGGCTCTTAATATCATCCGGAAGAGCAAAACCCAGAGAAATCCTAAAATCCTTTCAAAGGGGCTCCCGTCCAGCCGCACTTGGCATAAAGCAGCCTCTCCTGTCCCTTACTTGTTCTGTCTTCTCTATCAAGGACTCCTTCAGGGTGAGAGCGACTTCAGTGTTTCTAATCTGTAGAATAAAAGAAACGCAAGCTGTTTTCATGGAGATATTTTCCCTTCAGATGTTCCCATTCATCTTACCCTAAGCTCCCATGCATGTTTTCAGTGTGAGGCCTAGCTTTTCTCTGACAGGAGGCTATAAGCACACAGGTGAAAGCCGTCGTAGGATTCACCTTGTCTTTGCCCAGGTGAAGGTTCTGGGGGTGGGTCTCCCCAGGTGACAGAGCACCCTCATGACACTGGTGTCCCTGTTGGTCAGATGTTCTATCGGTCACATCACAGACTGTGAATCAAGAACAGCAGAGATGGAGAGAAGCGACTAAAGATGCCTTTCCCCTCTGTCACGCAGTAAGACTCTGAACTTGAGTCTCTAGCAGCTGAACGTGGAGCTAAGCTGTACATGGTTCTCCTCGGCTCATCATTTTCTCATGGGGGTGACCTGGAGGACATCCTGTGCTCAGGGAGGCCACCCTCCCACACAGGTGCCGCTGCACATGCCCGGGAGGGCACCTGCTCCGTCCCCACTCCAGGGCTATTACACCCAGTGTGGGCACAGCTCTCCTCCAACAACCACTGGTGAAACCCAAAGTGTGCTCTGCTGATGGAAGTCCTGAAGTCAGATAAGCAAATTAAAAGGCCAATATAATCTATGATTTAAATACATTCCAAACAGATTTAAAATATCTTCCTTGAGCTCTGAAAAATTACAATATCTAAAGCCCTTGATTACTTTTTAAAATCTCTTATTTTAGGATTGTATCGATTTTTCACTACACATATTTTTATTTTTACAGTTTGGTAAAAGTAAATTATAAACAAATAACATGTATTCCATTATACAATTCACATATATATGCATATATTTATCTCTATATAATGATATCTGTATATATAACTTAACAAAACATGGAGGTACTGAGTCCACACATATCACTGCTAAAATAGTTATAGGAATGTAATAACAATTTTTACTTTATAATGACAGTAAATTCATTTGACATTGAAATATAATAATTTTTTATGTTTTTAAAATGAGGCAGAAGATAAAGGTTAACTTTCTTAGCGTGCTATTACCAAATTCTCTTTATATTTTAAATAAATGGAAATGTTTTATAACTCAGAAAACATGATTCTCTCATTCCCAGAGTATCACACAATTTGAAAATATATAAATATGTATAGAGATAAATGTGTGCAAACAGAAAGGCTCCGCCTGGCATTTCCAGTGCACTTTTGTCCTAACTACTCTAATATATCTCAGCACAAATGAAGCACCATCATTATCCATTATGTATGACAGTGATGTTACATTTGAAGTGTATTTTTCTTAAATTCATCTCAAGGCACTATTAAAACAGAGTTAACAGTTAAATGGTTGCTATTTTGTGCATACAGAATAAGAGAGAATTGCATTCCCCATCTATTTCTGCAAATATTTATTGTAAGACGCTGTGCTCATCCCAGAGCTTGATAGCCAGAATGTCCGACCAGAGGTCAGTGAGGGCAGAGACACCGTATGCCCCGGACAGCGCTGCAATCTCAGCTGCCCACCTATGTGGGAACTCTCACGGGGACTAAGTGCCCCAAGTCAAAACACTTACGTCATGTTACACAAAACCCTAAAATTCCCCCATGCAGTGTTGATGGTGTCTCGGATGTGGCATCTTTCAAGGTGTCTGAACCTGGATTTACAGCACAAGCACGATGGCTCCACCCAGAAGCACACAGCGGCCTCTGAAAGGCTCTTCCGCTGCTGATACCACTCCATAAACGTCTAACCTTCTGCCCAGGATGGACCTGACTCTGGGGAAAACGATCCATTGCGTTCTGAAGTGTACTGCGAACATTAAAAAGGAGAAGAAGACACATAAATTGTGAGAAAGCCATAGCCAGTAAATCTGAGCGTGATTTACTTGAAAAACAGGAACTAGAATGAAATGCATGCTAAGAGCTTCCCACTGGGATGGGCGTTAACAGGGCTCAGCAAGCAGAATACGCCCGGGAGAGTCACCAAATGTCCACGCTAAGGTCGCTCCTACGCAGGGAGGAGGCTGAAGCTGGATGAATCCAAGAGTGTGCGGGTGCCTGTGAGTGTGCGGGTGCCTGTGTTTGTGCGTGCCTGTGTGTGTGTTCTGTGTGTGTGCGCGCTTCTGTGTTTGTGTGCGCATTAGTGTGTGTATGCCTTGTGTGCGTGTATGTGTGTGCGTGCATGTGCCTGTGTGTGTGCATTTGTGTGTGTGCCTGTGTGTGTGTGTGTGTGTATGCGGGGGGGGATTTCCCAAGAATATTCACTGAATCTGATCGAAACACACTTACAGGCAGTTAGCTGCTCAGGGAGGGAAATGTTCATCAAAAGCAGCGTTCTGCCGTTATGCTCAGGCGCGGGCACGCACAGGTGCGTGTGTCATGCACATACCTACTTGCCAGAACCAAAGCAAACCCTGCTCACATCCCAAGTTTTGCCCCAGCTCCCGCCCGTGGCACCTGGACTCCCGGAGGCGTGGGTGCAGCTCAGGCCCTCGGGTGAGGCCTGCCCGGTCTCAGGAGTGCCCAGGCGGCGCTGGGCAGCAGCGAGCAGGTGGTTTGTGACAGAGACCCGCCCAGCCAGCCTGAGGTTCCAGACGGCGACAGGGGCGCGGGGAGAAGGCCCTGCAGGGGAGGCTGATCCTGCGTGGACGCGAGGCCGTGGAAGGGAGGTCCCCCAGCCTTTGCCGAGGCCAGGCCGAGTGTGGATGCCCCTGGTCCTGGCTGGCCATGGGTGGTGTGAGGGGCGAGGAGCAAGGCGTGAGGGTGAACCCCCGACCCCACAACGCCGAGGCAGAACCCCCTGGCAGGGTTCACGCCAGAGAGCAGAAGCCACGCGCAGGGTGGAGATGGAGAAGGCAGGAGACAAGGACGTCCTCCCCCTTCCCTCCCCTTCCACCTTCCACCTGTCCATCCAGGCGTCCGTGGCCTCTGCAAGGCGGCCCCACACCAATGCACCCAGAGCAGGTGGAAGAGGCGGCCCTTGGGGGTTAAGAACAATTCCCATGCGGTGTTTCTGCAGGCAGGGGGCAAAGAAAATTTGCAGTTTGAACATCCTGCCCGTTCCCACTGTGCGATGTGGCACAACTTGCTCGATTTTGCTGGGCGTTGATTTTCTTATCTGGAAAATGGGGAGCCCCCCTCGGGGGCCGGTGTGAGAGCCAGCATCCCAGTGATCCCAAGGGCCACCCATCAAGACCATTGCGCAGGCTGGGAGGCGCCCCGGCCCCCTGCGTTCTGCGCACCCTCACACTGCAGAGCAAGGCCCTGGCTGGTGGGCCACCTCCCTGTCAGTTTGAATCCACTAGCATTTCCTATGGAGCTTCCTCCATGGCCGTGTTAGGTCTAATGAGGTCTACAAATTTCACTACAATATAGTCCTTGCCCTCAAGGAACTTTCAGCCTACAAAGTAAGTGTCTCCCTCAGTTTCCCTGTGCACTAAAGTGTTTAGACAACTATAACCATCCTCTGGTAGCAATTTGCAGAGTGTCACAGGTTACAAAGTGCTTTATAAGCGCTAATTATCACTTCAGTAAATTATTTTTACATTTTTTCCCAAAAGAGTGAAATAAAACAGCATAAGCAGAAAAACATAAAACGCAAGAATTGTTTTATGGGCCCCTGGCTGAGATTTCTGAACTTGAACATCATACGCAGGGAAACATTAGATGCAGTAATTATATAATGATGTTTCACTGTATAACTATTATCTTTCTCATTGTCACTTCTTTCAGATGAGGGCTGAAGGGATTAACCCTGTCTATTCTGTGCTCAGAACAGCTTTCTAGACCCGATGTTTCCCTTAAACTCATCCATGAGCATTCAGAATTTACATGACCTAAGAGAATCTCGCAGATCCTAGAATCACTTCTAAACTTTATCAATTATTCCTTGCTTTCTCAAAATATCAGGAATTCAAAGAAGGGTGCTAAAGCATCAAATTGAAATAGATGTAGGTAAAGGGACTTAGTGGGTATGTATTTAGTTATAGATGTATTTAAGATGGAATGAATAAATGAGTTAAATGAATTGTGCACGGATCTTGTGCTATTTCTAATTTTAATAGTACTTGAAATCAGCTATGCTTCATAGCGGCAGCTCAGGAACAGGCGTGGCCTGGTCTGAAACGATCAAGCCAAGAAATGAAGGACCTGATTTCGCTGGAATGCCTGCTGGAACAATGGCACATAGTGCTGACCAGGACAGAGGCAGATGCAATAAACAAAGGTAAAAAGCTGTGGGTACTGTGGGTAAGGTAGGAGTTTGGGGAAAGATGCACATCTGCACCAGTGGGATTATCAGATACCCAGGAGCAAATGAACAAGCTTGGTGTTTACAAACAGTAGCCCTGTTTGTAAACACCAGATAAAGTTTATTTAAATTCAGTTTAGAGAGAAATGCCAGTCCTTGGGAACCCTACTATGCAGAATAACACCAGCGATGAGATGTCTGCGCACATGGAGGACCTCCCCACTGTTCGCGGCTCTGGTGGTCTTACCTGGGTGCCTCTGTAATCCTAGGAAATTACTGCTTCCCGGTGATGTGCTTGGAGAATACAAGCAGGCAGGTGTGTGTGCTCACTCTAACTTTATGGGTGTTAATAACTTACATAGATAACATTTGTGTACTCAATTAAAATTGAGCATTACTGAACTTTTATATATATACATGGTTTTTAAACTTATATATAGGTAATGTATGTATACTATTATATATGTATTATGTATAGATACGTGTATATACACACTATGTACTCATGGTATACACATATAAATATATATATGTGTGTATATCCATGTATATGTGTATGTATCATTGGTACATAGAATTTGCCCAGTTTAACACACTGTTAAGCTATTTTTTCCCTCAATATTTGCAAACTATTTATATCAATGCCCATATCTACGTTGATAAAGATGTCATAAATAACTGTGTGTAACTGCATGGCACTTGGAAGCAATACTGCTGGAAAAAGCAGAGTAGGATAGACAGTAAAGCACGTGCTCCGGCCAAAGAAATCATCAGGTAACGGATGGAATTAAAAGCAATTAGGATTTTAAAGACGCATTTAGGGGCCAGCACTGCCGCAAACTGAAAGGTGCAAAGATTCTCCTATTCATTAGGCGTTTTCCCGCATGCGAAACAGAAGCATGGCGCGCTTCTGTTTGAATAGAAAAACAATTATGTTTTTAATACACTTATATTCTACTCATCTCCTCATCATTCCAGGATAATGAGTCATTAGAAAAAAATAATATTCAGCAGTACAGCTTATTGTTCGGTAGAAATGATCATTGCATTTGCTGAGTGTGAGCACCTGACTGTTTGGAAAGGCCAGAAATCAGCAGTTTCTGTCTGAGTGTGCTCCTGCTGTGGCCACTGGAAGGATCCCTGCCTAGCATTATTCTCTGCTGTTCCAGAGCCGAATGTTCATGACCTTCACATCATCCATAGGCAGGAGGGATAGAATTGAGGACACTGAAAATCTCTGTGTAGCTGCCACCTCTGGTACAGGTGTGGAAAGACCAAATGCTATGACCACTGGACTGCCTCAGGTTGAATTGTAAAGGCAGCCTACTGTGAATGACACTATAAACATTTGTTGTTTTTTCCATAAATAATCATGGATTTAATACATTGTGAGACAATTATCAGTCAGCAATGATTGACAGGTAGAGGTGAGTGACAGTGGTGGTTGTGAAGGATAGGGAGTATCAGGGTTCCTGCTGCCCACAGAAGAGGTCCCACTGACCTTCCGCCAACACCCAGGTCTCAGCTCAGCTTTGCGAAGGGAGCTTTGCAAGAATCACAGTGGTCAGGAGGAAACATTAGCAAAGGTTAAGCAATCAGTCTTTGAAACCCTCAATGTCCTTGTATTCACCAATTGCATGGCCTCAGAAAATGACTCAGGTGTCGACCCCAGGCAGGCCCAAAGTGCTCTGCAGGCTGCCTCATGGTAGGAGTGTATCCACTATTCCACACAAACCCCCAACTGGTGTCCAGATAATGTGTCTATGGACCCAGGGCCTACAAACTGCATATAGCTTGTTGAAAATATTTGTGTTATGTAAACCCAAATGGCTGTGTTCCGGTGAAAAGGCAAAGATCACCCTTTAAGTCCAATAACAACTGTATTTGCAAAAGCCATAAAGATCCTTCATAATTTATACCTTAGTAGCATTCTGTTTGGTTTTGGTAATTAGCACTATTCAAGCTTTAAGCAATAACATTACTCAGAACACGACTCCAGAACAAAATTTTTGAAGAAGAATTTATTTTTGAAAAAATGAAATATGAAAGAATTGTGTTATTTTGTATTTTAACTAAATAATTCCAAAAAGATACTTGACAAGACATGAGGAATGCATAGGCCATAGGTGTACATATCTGGATGTACACATCAAGGTATTTATATTTTGCTTTACATAAGGCAGAACCAGGTAAGATCATTTTTGTTTCGAGGATCTTGGGGCATGAAACACGCACAGCAGTGGAGAATTGAAACAAGGGGTGTCACTCCCATGATCAATGTTTCAGCTCACAGGTATTCTACACGCATGTTTCATTCCTGTGAAGATTAGGACCAAGGAGGCTATCTTATATTTTTAAATAACTCATTGAAGAGAGCATACTTTTTCAATTTAATATAATTGCTCTAATCAAAGCTCTAAAAGAATCAGTTAGCACTTCTAGCAACAGTTTTCCTGCGTTAAAACCACTTGTGAGGCCTAGACAGCATGCAGCAGAAAACAGTGTGAAGTCTAACAGACGCTACTAATAATGAGAGTGTTTGAAGGCCTTGGATCAAAATCACGGTAATGGACAACTTTATATTTTGCATAAATTAAAATTGTACACAGTATAAAGTCTACTATTTACCATGTCTTATTTACTATGTGATGAGGATTTGTAATGATATTGGCGTTTTTCTGTTGTTGTTTGTTTTTTTGTTTGTTTGTTTTTTGAGACAGAGTCTTGCTCTGTTGCCTGGGCTGGAGTGGAGTGGCGTGATCTCGCTCACTGCAAGCTCCGCCTCCAGGGCTCAAGCGATTCTCCTGCTCAGCCTCCCAAGTAATTGGGATTACAGGCACACGCCCCCACACCTGGCTAATTTTTGTATTTTCAGTAGAGATGTGTTTCACACCATGTTGGCCAGGCTTTTCTCGAACTCCTGACCTCAAGTGATCTGCCCACCTCAACCTCCCAAAGTGGTGGGATTACAGGTGTGAGCCACCGCGCCCAGCCTACTTTTCAAACAATTATGAGCAGTGAGTGTTTGCAACCTTGGAATGAGACTGATGACATTTTGGCAATTAAAAAAAAAAAGCCTTCAAAGGGCACATATTTAATGCTACTAAGAAAATATCAATCAATGTCTTTAAATTATATCTATATACAATGCTTTAATGACTTTGAGTGGGAAGATTTGTAGTTAGATTTTTTATAATATATAAGATATATATTATATATTGTTCATATACTATATATTTAAATTATAGACATAATTTAAAGAAATACATATGTGTTTATACATGTGTGTGTATATACATATGTATATATATATAGAGAGAGAGAACCATACACCTATTTATGCTCTGAGAGAAAAAAAAATAGTGCAATATATAGTTCAAGTTTCTCAAATTATTTTAAGTACAGTGTCTTTTATCTGGACATTGTTCAGAAATAGATCAAGACAACAACAAGCAGTCAGGCTCCCAGTAAAAATCTGACTCCGAAATCCCGCACCCCAGCCAGCGCCGTCTGCACCTGGAACCCGGGTCCCAGGGCCGGGCTGTGGCTTCCTGCCAAGGGGCGCGATTCTCCTCGCAGAGGAAACTGGTATTCTTTGGAGCAGCTACCCCGTCAGGAACCTCATTTGAATCTCCTCTCAGTGATTCAAACACAGGCTTCACCTGTGTGAAATTTAGAGGAAAATAAAAATGCAGCGGTTCCTACGGAGGCTCCTGGCTTGCAGGACATTTGAGGGTGGAGACAAGGATGCCGCGGAGGGAGGACTCGGGAGCCCGGCCGCGCCCTCCAGCCTCGGCACCCGCGCTCAGCGCGCCGCGCCCCGCGTCCCCCGCGCGTGGCCGCCTCCCGCGGGCCGGGCCGGGGCTGCGCTGCCATCTAGCGGCCGCGCGCCCAGCGCCGCGCCACCGCCCCTGCAGGCCGCCGGGGCTCCTGCAGCTCCTGCACCCCCAGTTTCCTCTGTGGCTACTTTAGGTGCCTTACGCCGTCGGAAGTGGCGTCCCCGCTCAGTGTCTGCGGGTTTAGCCCGCAATGCACCGTCTCTTAGCAGGTGTCGGCACTGGGGCTCGCCTGAGGCTGGGGAGGGTCTAAGGCCCGCGGCTTTGCTCAGAGTCCAGGACACGGAGCAGCGGCCTCCTCGGGGCTCAGCTGGAGAGGGTAGAGGGGAGGCTCGGGCTGTGGGCCGCGCAGCCCCTTCCTCCCCGCGGGCCATGGGGCCACAGTGTCTGCAGCAGTGGCCTGGGACCACCGCGCACTAGACACATGCTTTCAGGATCTGAAAATATCAGGGCGAAGAGAGAGTTGGGGCGCTTGAAGGTGCAATATATTGCATGGGTCACGTAACCTCAAATGGCTGTTTTCCAGTGAAAAGGCAAAGATCACCCTTTAAGTCCAATAACAATTGTATTTGCAGAAGCCCTGTGCAGTATCTTGGGGAAAAATGAAGAGGAAATTAGGCATCTAGAGACTGCTAATGAAAAGCAGCCATCAAAATGTGCCCAGCACCTATAAAAACTATCTTAGAAAACAAAACGGCAGGTAACAAAAGTCTTCTGATTTAAACATTTATTTCTACTGGTTTAAGTATCCGTTCATGTTTGAAATATATATATATAATATAATATAATATAATATAATAATATAATATAATATATATAGCCCTTTTCTGTCCATAGAAATTAACAAGTAATGTTTTACAGGTTTTCCCCAGTAGTTTAAAACACATGATCAACATAAAAATACCCAAATATCCAAGCTCTGTACCTCGCAAATGATATGAAAGAAAGAAGAAAGAAAGAAAAAGAAAGAAAGAAACAAAGAAAATATTGAAACTGATTTTTTAAATTTCAAAGCCATGACAACTATTTGAGTGTCGTCACCGATTAAGATGCTTCAAACAGAATATTCTTTTTTTAACTGTTGAAAAATTTCTCAAAAAATGTTAACAGAACTAAAGTTTTAACACTAGGTTTATTGCTTATTGCACACACACATATAAGCAAAGAGTACAATTACCATAAATATTTATACATTTATAGTAAATATTGTAAAGAAAAATAAAAACCACTTAGTCTATAGTGATTGTCATAAATATATTTTTTAATTATTGGAAGTTCTTTTTCCTTTATACTGAACTATTTTGAATCTGAGGGAAAGTTGAACTAATTTTTAAGCATGCACCAATAAATTTTTATACGTAACAATATTTTTGTGATAGTGCTATAGAAGACTCATTTCTTGTCCCACTAATTCTATAATAACAGTTCTGTCAATTACTTTTCAGGCTACCGAAGCTTAATACTGTTCCCAAAGCTGCCCTTTGGATCTCACTGGCTTTCCGTCAGGGACACGGGGCTCTGTGTGCTCTCTGCCTGGGGAGCTCATCTTGGTGTGATGTGTACAATCATGGGCTGTGACATATTTTTTGCGTAACTTGTGTATCATTTGTTCCCTTTCTATAAATTGTTTTCACAAATAAGAGCCATTGACCCCATTATTTTAAAAAAGGTGTCTGCCTTTCCACTGATTGCTTTTCATCAGAACCCTCCAGATTTCTGGGGTGGTTCAGCCACAATCCCAGAACATTCCCTGGTTTACTTTGCTCTTCTGACAAACTCAAAGAGTGGGAGCCACTCATGGTAGATGAAAAGCAAATGCACATTAGATCACACTCTTCCTACCCCCAGGATAGCCTATACTCTGTCTTCCTGTATGTGATTTATTTACAGTCACTTGTATTTTGCAATGTAGCTGTGAAATATTCAAAACAGCAATTTGTCTTTTCCTAAGAAAATTAGAAGTACGTTTTTGTATTACTGACATTGAAATTTCAAATATATGTGTACCTAGTAAAGAAATCAAATATGTTTAGTAAAAAACTGTATTGTATACCAGTACTAAAATCACAAAATATTTATTTTAGTTTATTTACTATGGTGTTTCCAAATTCTTCATATTTTCTTAACTTGTCTTCTTTAAAAGAAAAATAAGGCGATTTATAGTTTTAAATCACCAAGTCAAACTTGTCTAACTTCGGATTTCCATCGAAATCGCATTTGAAATTTTAAGTGTTTAGAGCAAAAACATCATGGTTAACAAACTCAGATGTAAATCAGAGAGCTGATCAGAGGTCCGTTGGCTGGTGGTTGTGATGGAGAAGTGCATTTTCATATAAATGGAAAGTTTGGGATTCCCTCTTCTGCCAACCTAAGGGTTGATTCCGTTTTAACTTTTGCTATATCAAAGGGTGTCTCTACTTCCACACCACAGGCTATATGTTGATTCTGTTAACAACTTCAGTACAAATAATAGCCAGGTACAAACAATGGGTACTGTCTAGCAACACCGCCGGGGGGCTTCCCTCAAAGGAACGCAAGAATCTCCACAGTTGTCAGAGGTGGGGTTTACTTCACTTCCCTTGAAGACCATGTCTATCAAAAGAGCTCTTCTAAGGTGAAAGGCAGCACCCTGTCTTCGCCCGACGTGCACCCTCCTGCAGCGTGGGAGGCTCCTTGGGCCAGGTGGGTGCCTCATTACCATGGGAGGAGACTGGGAAGATCCCCTGCCGGCTGACTGCTGTGTATTGACTCAGAAATATAACCAGGGGAATGGCAGAAGCCCTCGGTATTTGTCAAATTACGATGTGGAAGTGGAGCTGCGTGAATTCTAAAAAACTTGGCTGGCACTCAGCTCCGTCACTAGCTGTGGACAAAACACAACCCAGACAAGCCATTAAAAACACATAAATGTAATGATTTTGGTACTCATCTTGCATGCTTAGTTAAGAGTGAAAATTCAGCAGACCTCTCAGCTACATAAACCCACTGCTGCATATTTTGATAGCAGACTAAGCCCGCCTCAGTGTGCACACTGCCCAAAAAGAAGAAAATTAAAGCCCTCATTTTCCTCTCATTAAATTTAGAATACATATTTTATCAAGGAGTATAATTTTGTTTTGTTTTTTTGGTATCTTAAAGCATGTGAGAATAAATACGTTTGGTCATGGCCCAATGCATGAGAGCCAGATCTGAGGCTCGTGGGCGGGAGACCCAGGACAAGGACCTGACCTCCGGGCCTCACTCCTCACTCTCGCATGTAAAACACAGGCCTGCCTGCTCCAAAACGACGAGTGTTTGCAAATGCTTTGTAATATCTCTGGTGCTGAGTGGGAGATCCATCACTGGCAGCTAGTTTATTTTTGATGTTCTTGTGCTTGAGGAAACATTTATTTCTGGACTACAGCCTTCCCCAAGAGCTACCCTTGGGTAACACATTGAGAGAAGACAGCATTGTGGAAACTCTGTCTTCCTGATAATCTGCACTCAAAGCCAGGAATCAGCCTGTTTCAAATATTTCAGGCTTTGCCAGGCATGTGGTCTCTGCTGCAGCTACTCACCCCGCCTGTGCAGAACAACAGCAGCCGCTGGCCCCATGTCAGTGGGTGAGCGCAGCCATTCTCCGATAAACTTCACTTAGAAAAGTCAGGGAAGAACCAGACTGGCTTGTGGGCCTCAGCCTGTTCACCCTGCTCACAATCACGGGTCCCAGTTTGTGAGGCCATGCATCAGGTGAATGTCTTTATTTTTGCTTTGAGATAGTAAACATTATAGAACAAATTATCCCCAAAAACATCCACATTTTTAAAATTTTTGCAGTAAAGTAAAACTTCAACATCCTATAGATTCTTAAAGGTGAGAAAGACACTTTCCCCCTTTTTTTTTCTTTTTTTCTTTTTTTTTTTTTGAGATGGAGTCTCCCTCTGTTGCCCAGGCTGGAGTGCAGTGGTGTGATTTCGGCTCACTGCAGCCTCCACCTCCTGGGTTCAAGTGATTCTCGTGCCTCAGCCTCCCAAGTAGCTTGATTACAGGTGCCTGCCACCACGCCTGGCTAATTTTTTTATTTTTAGTAGAGACGGGGTTTTACCATGTTGGCCAGGCAGGTCTCAAACTCCTGACCTCAGGTGATCCCACCTCAACCTCCCAGAGTGCTGGGATTACAGGCGTGAGCCACAATGCCCGGCTATGCATTTTAAATACTGAAATGGAAATTCTTCTTTTAAGTATTTTTATGCATAGGTAACTTCTATCTTTTATGCTCAGTTTCTATCTCTTTATGTGTATGATAGATATACTTTATATGGAAATAATTCTCTTGATTTAGAAGACAGCATATTGGTTTAGGACTTCTGCAGTAACTGCAGGTAGAACACTTGTATCATGAAGATTTCTAATTGTAACTGCTATTGCAAAGAACTTGGAGATAGATATGCATGCGAGCATTTGAAATGTTGATTCTTGCAATTACCTATTTAATCAAATTTTTGAGCCAAGAAAAGTAAATGTGACCTGAGTGATGAAGAAGATAATTTTGTTATTAATGGAGCATTGGGATGATGAAATGCTTTGTTTAGAGATTTTGTTTATTTGGCATCTGCTTTAAACTCATATCAAGATATGACAGCAAAATCATGCGGCAGCCGATCCCAATGCGATCAATTGTGATTACCATGTTTTTCAGTGATATCTAAAACTGAAAATAAACTCGATAAAAGAATTAAACGAAACCCATTTAAATAACAGTGGCCCCAAAGCTTCTTATTTGATGATACTCAGGACTGCCGATGCTGTTGAACATGTAGGGCAGGGCTGATTTCTGTTCCTTTAGCAGATTTGATGAGGTCATAAAACACAGTGATACAGTCTCAGAAACATTATGGTATTTGCCGTTAAAAATAGAACTGTGTCTGAGCTACTCCCTTCATTTGAGAAATTCCAGTTCACATGCTCAAGAGGCGAATCTACGAACACTCCCATTATAGGTTCAGAATTATGAGGGCAGCAGCCATGCTCTTGATGGCTGCCTTTGAAAGCTCTCATGGGAAGACTGTTATCATCAGCTTCTCTCTCTCTCTCTTTCACCCTTCTTTTCTCTTTCCAGCCTCTCCTTTAGTCTTTCTGGAAATTTCATGAGGGATGCTGTCAGCCCTTGACCAAACCCCAACTCAGAGTGTTCTGATCATCACTGCAAATTGTTAGAATTAGTACATTACAGTTTAAAAATAATGTCAAAGAAAAGAAATATAGGAAAAATAGCTCTTTAACACTCTCTGTAAAAACCATCTTTTCTTTTAATTCCCGCAGGGTACTTAAGCTCCAAAGACACACACACACATACACACAGATACACACACAACACACATATATACACACACACATACACACATATATGCAGACACACACATACATACACACATATATACAGACACACACTTATGCACACACGCATACACATACGCACATGCCATATATACACATATACACACAATACACACACATATGCACAGACACACATATACACACACATACATGTAAACACACACTTATATACACATTCATATATGTGAACATATATACACACATACACAGATATATGCATTGATTTGCATATGTGTATACACATATATATTCTAAAGACAAAAGCATTTGCAATTATTATGCATCTCCTATTTTATCTTTTAGTTGGGGGATATATTAATAGTTTTCTAAACATAACACAAGTAAACAAATAAAAAAGCAAATAAGTAAAATGCTTTTCAGGGTGAGCAATTTTTCTCGTTTTAGTACACACACTAATGTACATTCGTAGTACTTATTTAACATTTCTAATTAAGTGAAATGGTTCTGCTCATTCTGAATCTTCATTTACTGTAACTGTGGACCTAAACACTCCCGGTAGTATTCCCTTTGAGACAGTTTTAAACTCACAGTGATTGTACACACCGTGGTCACAGGAGTAACCCCTTTCATTCTTTAGCCATGTAGGCTCATTGCAAAAGTTGATGTGTTTCAATGTGTTTTCTCCCCATCCGCCCCCCAGTTCCTCATCTCTCACTCTGGACACAGTCCTTGACACATCATGTAAACTATCATCTTTCGCAATAAATAGTAAATCATTGCAGTTGAAGCGCTATGCTGCTACACACTTACGCAAAGATTACTGTGGCACTTTACTAGATTTGCTATACTTGTATCTCTTTTACTGCCTGAGACTAGAAGAAAATGAGCTTCCTGACCTTTCAGAGCTATGCACCTCCTGACAGGAATGCTTTCACTTACAAAGGTGTCTTTACAAGAGTTACAGTAATTTCCCCACTGTTCAACTCTTGATGTTCTTTTGTTTATATAAGCTCATGTATCTTAGCACCCTTCATACTAAAAAAAAATTACAATTAAGTTTCATGCCCCATTTTACAATTCTTCTGTAGCTTTGGAAAGCTAAGGGGTCTAGGAGTTGACCACTTTATAAGGTGAGAAAAATCTTTTTCACTTTATAAGGTGAGCAATGATCCAGTGTCCACTTTGGCCAAACTGAATCTAGCCTAAGACAGAATTTCCTCCACCGAGCACAGGAAGTTAAAAATAAGAATTCTGGGAGCTCCTTCTGAGGGAGGGAGGGAGGTAAGGAGGAGGGATAGAACGTGCCTGAAACAGAGGGGATAGCAGGGCTAGTGGCAGCTGCAAGCTGGGGCATTGCTTCACCAAGACCTGACCAATTTCAGGCCACACCTGGGATGGGAAGTGGGGTAGGGAGGGGAGTCTGGGGAAGGAGAAAAAGCGGGTGAGGAGAAGGAGAGCAGAAGCCAGGAGGGGCTCTGAGAAAGCGCAGAGTCCGTGTAGTCTGGCCCAACTTAAAAGAAAATCAGTGCCTAAGTAAACCAAAGGAATATATATGATTCTTTCTTGTGGCAAGGCTTTGGGTGGTTTTTACTTTCTTTATTTTGCCTCTATATTTTCTACGTTTTCTACAACAAATGCATTAATTTTAATTGTTTTCACAAGAAACCGTGTGAAAAGTAATGCAAAACTCCAGTATATAAAGCAGTATAATAATACCGGTAATAACAAAAAGACAAACACATCAATCAAGAGGAAATATACAATCCCCAAAGTCTGGTCTCATTTGATATAAACAAGGTATCCATAAACTAATTAGTATTGCAAATCAATGGAGAAAGGAATGATGGTTCAATAACTATTTCTGATCAATTTGTTATCTATTGGGAATAAAAAGTAAAGTTAAATCATGACTTCATGTTGTTTTTACCTTTACGGTTTACATTTGTGTACTAATATTTACATCAATGTAAAATAATGTCCTTGCAGATTAAAGATTGCAGGTGAAAAATGATATTATACAGATAAAGATGAAAGTATTTGAGGTGCAGTTACTTAGGGAAACATATACTAAATGTGCAAGCAACGTAGACAGACTACACAAGCAAGGAAGACACACACATGTGACTACCATCAACTGCAAAGTGGTCATCAACACTGTAAGTAAAATCTAAAGTTTAAGAACAGAAAAAGTACAACACATTTTCATGGATAAGATAGATAAAGGGTTACTATTTACATAGTTTTAAAAAGCTACTACCAATCATTAAGATAAAAAAGTTAAATAGCAAAGTGATTAAAAGACATGAACAGGCAATCCACAGAGAAGTGACACAAACAACCTTTGTCACAGGCAGAAAACCTCAATTCAATAAGCAAATGGCAGCTACCCCCATGCATTTTCTCTACTTACCAGTAACACAGGCTGGGGTTTAAACAAATCACCATACCAATGTTGACAAGGTTTTAATTCAATGGACACTCACCTTGAAACTGCCAGGGTGGTGGTGGGTTACTAAACATTCAGAATTTCCAAGAGGGCAGTTTGGGCTGTGTCTTAAAACCCTTTGAAGTGTTCACAATGTATTTTCCCTGAGGAACAACTCAGATAAACAATGCAAAAATGCATATGCAAAACCTTTAATGAGTGCATTTAAAACAGAAAAAGTTGTAAACAATATCTATGCTGTTGCCAAAGGAATGATGAAATTAATTGTAACATATTTAGTAGGTAGAATAATATGCTGTCATTAAACACATATTCTCTATGAATATTTTGAAAAATGTTGTCTTACATGAATCTGGATTTTGTAAAAAAATACTTACAGAAAAATAAATAAATATACCAGCATATTAATATTGAGGCATGTCTTGATGCCGGCCCATTTTTTTCTGCTTTTCTCAATTTGTAAATGTAGAAAAATAATCCACAAAGAAGTTTTCTTTGCTTGTTTGTTTTTCTGCATGTGAGGTGTCCTACGGGGAGCCATCCTAACAATGACATTCATAGGCATCTGGAGGGACAATAAGGAGGAAGAGCAAACCATGGGACTTTGCACAGCCAAAAGCTCGTATTTACAGATTAGTAACTAGACTGATTAAGGTATAGAAATAATGTCTAACTGACAAAGTCTTAGTGCTTATAGGGTAACTGCATTTAGAAGGATCAAGACTTCTCTGCAAAGTTTATGAATTTCTAATGTAAGAACCTTTATAGTGAGGCTCGTTCAGAAAATGGAAAAATACAATACACAATGGGCATTTGCAGGATGACCCAGAATTAAAACAGAGACCAAAGGTGTGGGAGCTGGGGGTTGGGAGATACATGAAAGACCGGGACAGAGTTAAATGCCTTCGTTACTGTTGGCTGCTAGGCACAGACATCCCTAAGTAGAGGGTGTTAGCAGCCACATCATAACCTCACTGTACAATTGTAATCTGAGATGTATTCATGTTTATTGAGCCCAATTTTATCTAACAGTTTTTTTTTAATAGTAAACTAGAGTGGGTTCATTTATTTTCATACTCTTCTAGAGTGTGTGCTATTTTTTCAACTCTGTGCAACGCTAGGAACGGGAAAATGAAAATGACTAATGCCCAGTCCCTGTTCTCAAGGAGGTCATTTTAGACATGTATGGGTTGAACACCCAGTAGTATTTTCATCATTACTTACAGACTAAAAATGCATAAATAAATAAGCAAGCATTTGTGATAATCAGCTATTTTGGACAAAAATTTAAATTATTTCTAATATTTTACAGCTAATACACACTGTTTTAAAAGTTTATAATAATGTAAAAAAATACTCATCAATAGTAATAACAGCTCACAATAATTGCGTGCTTGCTTTTTACTACGTAATATTCCAAAGGCTTTACATCGATTAAAATTACTTTACACACAAACACCCCTGGGAGGTAACTACTATTGTTTTTCCCCTCTTTATAGATAAAGACACTGTGATTTAGCTTAAATAATTTGCTTCAAGTCACACACCTAGATGATTTAGATGGACCCAAAGAGGTTGGTGCCAGAGTTAATGTTTTAAAACATGATTCCATAATATCTCTCACTTTAAAAAATGATTCTAAAAAGATGTTATCAGTAAATCTGAGCCATCGGTTGGCTACTTCAAAGGCACATCAGTCCCCCAATTGCCCACCCAAAATCCACACTCCAGGTACCTGCTATAAAAATCTCCCATTCTTGTTTGGATGGGCCTGTTCCTGTTGCATGTTTATCGAGTGGCAGATTGGGCATAAAGGGGATTCAGACACATCTGGGAGGCTCCGATGAATAGAGAGACCCTGCTGGGTTGTTTATGGATGAAATGATAAAAGCCGAACCTACACTGAAATGAATCAGGAGGGAATGGGCTATGCAAAGGACTACTCATTTGCTTAGGAGTTTATATTCTCCTTTATATTATGGCCGTGGAGTTATGGCTTATTCTTATGATTTTCTTTGTGTATCAGTGATTTTATTCCTTTGTTTATGATATATATTGCAAAGGTTTTCTTCTAGTTTATCATTTATCTTTGACTTCCCCATAAAAAAAAAAACAAAAAAACTCTGAAGCCATTTTCTCATGCAAATTTTTTATTTATTTTTACTGTTTTTTTCTCTTTTATTTTAGTTAAATATATTCATATTTTTTTCATTGCATCTGCATTGCGATGTATAGTTAGGTAACAAAGGAATTCTTATACTTAGGCAACAGAGGAATTCACTTGTGTTTCCTTCTATTGTTTTTATGATGTTATTTTTACACTTAGATTCCTGATCCATTTCAACCCTATTGGGTCGAGTGTTAGGTATTGATCTAAATTTGTATTTTTTTCTGAATGGCCATCCAGTTGACAAAGAACCAGTTATTTTTTTTTTAAATCTTTGCCCCAGGCATTTGAGATGCTACTTTCATTGTAGAGGGAGACCTAATTGTATTGTTCTTTGCAGAAATTCCAGCTTATAAATTAAAGCTTTGTACCAACCTTGCCTCAAGCAAACCTGTTGGTGCCATTTTTCCAACAGGCATGTGCTCACTTTGTGTTTCTGTGTCACATTTGATAATTCTTGCAATATTTCAAATGTCTTTGTTATTATTATTATACATGGTGATCTGTGATCAGTGATCTTGGTCTTACTATTGAAATTGTTTTGGGGCTCTATAAACTGTATCCATATAAGACAGTAAACTTAACTGATGAATGTTGTGTGTTCTCACTGCTCTGCCAACCATCAACTTTCCCATGTCTCTCCCTCTTTTTTGGCCTCTCTATTCCCTGGCACATAACAATATTGAAATTAGGCCAATTAATAACCCTATAATGGTCTGTAAGAGTTCAAGTGAAGCAAAGACTTGCATCTCTCTCACTTTAAATCAAAGGCTGGAAATGACTAAGATTAGTGAGGAAGGCATGTGGAAGCCAAGACAGGCCTCTTGCACCAGTTAGCCAAGTTGTGAATGAAAAAAGAAAAAAAAAGTCTTGAAGAAATAAAAGCGCTACTCCAGTGAACACATGAATTATAAGAAAGCAAACAGCTTTACTGTTGATGTGGAGAACGTTTGAGTGGTCTGGATAGAAAATCAAACCAGCCACAACATTCCCTCAAGCCACAGCGTAATCCAGAGCAAGGCTCTAAAGCTATTCAATTCTATGAAGGCTGAGAAAGGTGAGAAAACTGCAGAAGAAAACTTTGAAGCTAGTAAAAGTTAGTTCATGAGGTTTAAGGAAGGAAGCCATCTCCATGACATAAAAGTGCAAGGTGTGGCAGCAAGTGCTGATGTAGAAGTTGCAGCAAGTTCCCCCGAAGATCGAGCTGAGACCATCGATGAAACTAAACACACTAAACAACTGATTTCCAATGTAGAAAAATATCTTCCTATTGGAAGAAGATGCCATCTAGGAATTTTACAGCTAGAAAAGATAAATCAGTGTCTGGCTTCAAAGGACAGGCTGACTCTCTTGTGAGGGACTAAGGCAACTGGTGACTTTAAGTTGAAACCAATGCTCATTTACCATTCCAAAACTCCTAGGGCCCTTAAGAATGATGCTAACTCTGTTCTGCATGTACTCTAGAAATGGAACAGCAAAGCCTGAATGACAGCACATCTGTATACAGGATGGTTCACTGAACATATGAACTTCACTGTTGAGACTTACTGCTCAGAAAAAAAAAATATTCTTTTCAAAATATTCCTGCTTATTGACAATGCACCTGGTCACCCAAGAGCTCTGATGGGGATGTACATGCGATGAACATAGTTTCCATGCTTGCTAACACACATTCATTCTGTAGCCCAGGGATCAAGGAGTGATCTTGACTTTCGAGTATGATTATTTTAGAAATAAATTTTGCAAGTCTATAGCTGTTTCAGATAGTGATTCCTCTAATTGATCTTGGAAAAATAAATGGAAAACCTTCTGGAAAGGATTCATCATTCCAGATGCCATTGAGAACATTTATGATTCATGGGGAGATCAATAGGTCAACATTAACAAGAGTTTGGAAAAAGTTGATTGGATGACTTTGAAGGGCTCAAGGCTTCAGTGGAGGAAGAAGCTGCAAAAGTGATGGAAACAGCAAGAGAACTAGAATTCCAAGTGAAGCCTGAAGACATGAATGAATTGCTGCAGTCTCTTAATAAAACTTGAATGGGCAAGGGGTGGCTTCTTGTGGATGGGCAAAGAAAGTGGTTTCTTGAGATGAAATCTATTTATGGTGAAGATGCTGTGAACATTGTTGAAATGAAAACAAAGGTTTTTAGAATAATAGATAAATTTATCTGATAAAATAGTGGTGGGATTTGAGAAGACTGACTCCAATTTTGAAAGGCGTTATACTGTGGTTAAAATACTATCAAATGGCATGTCAAGCAACAACGGTACCTTTCATAAAAACAAGAGTCAATCAATCAATGCAGCAAACTTCATTCTTGTCCTATTTTAAGAAATTGCCACAGCCAACCCAACTTTCAACAGTTATTATCCTGATCAGTCAGCAACCGTCAACATCAAGGCAAGACCCTCCACCAGCAGAAAGATTAGGACTCACTGAAGACTCTGATGATAGTTACCATTTATAAGCAGTGAAATATGTTTTAAATACAGTATGTACTTTTTAAGGAAATAATGCTATTGCACACTTAATAGACTACAGTACAGTGTAAACAGAACCTTTATATGCACTGGGACACCAAAAAATTTGTGTGACTCATTTTATTGCAATGTTCCCTTTATTGAAGCAGTCTGGAATGAACCCAAAAATATTTTCAAGATTTGCCTGTATACTAAATTCAATATGTACTTAAAAGTATTTTGGGAGTTTTCTATGTTATTCCACTGTTTTGTCTGTTTATCCATGTTTCAGAACCACACTCTGTTAATTATAGGGTTTTTGGGTGTATCCATACCCAATAGGGCCCATCTTGCATATGGCTGCTCTTTTCTTTTTTCCCTTAGATTTTTTTCTTTTATATTTATGTTTTTATACAAACACTTGCATCAAGTTTTCTAGCCCCCTAAGAAAGAATATTCGTATTTTTACTGGAATATTATTTTACTAGTGAGTTTTGCATGTTTATGACATTGAGTCATCTTATCCAAGAACAACTGATATCTTATTTGCTCAAGTCTTCCTTTGTGCCCTTCAGGATGTTTTAAAGTATATCTGATGTAGATTTTGCATAGATATTTTTAAACTTATTACTAATTATTGTATCCTCTGCTGTTTTTATAAATACAGTTTCTCTACCATTAATCCCCTATTTCTCATTGTTTGTGCATATGAAAAATATTGATTGCTGTGAATTAATAAGATTTCCTGATATGTCATTGAATTTGATTACTGTTTTAGTGAGCCCCATCTTTGTCTAGCTTTCCAGATACACTCATATCATAAGTAGACAGAGATCATCTTAGTTATATTTTTTCAATTATTTTATGTCTCATTGTTATGACACATTAAATTGTAGTGTTTCCAGCAATACGTCCAGTATAATTTGAATTAGCAATGGAGATAATGATTACAGTTTTCTGTTCTGAAATTATGTTTCTGGTATGTCAAGGACTACATTCAGGGGATATCTACCAATTCTTACTTCTTTCGGTGTTTTTTAAAATTTTCGACCTGGAATTGAGTTTTGATAAAAGTTTTTTAATGTTTAAAATAAGGTGTAAAGTTTTTCTCCTTACACCTCTTATATAACAGATATAATAAACATAATGTAATAAAATGTAATTATATATTTTGTGAATGAGTTTCCTAATATTAAACCTATGTTGTATTCCAGGAATGAATCCTATTTGCATATGGTGTATTTTTTTTTATTCTTTGCAGGTTTAGAAATTATTGTTATACTATCCTCATGAAAGTATTTGTAAAGCTTTTCTTTATATGTATGTTCTGTAGTGAGTTTTGTGCCATAGAATCATCTATTAACAATGTCATGAAGGTTGGAACAGTTCCCCCGTGGAACTATCTGAGCACTCCTTCTCTATTCCTTCTGCAATTCCTCTATTTAAGTTTTCTTTCTCTAATGGTCAGTTTTGGTAATCAGGCTTTTTCTGTACAAAATTCTCCACTTTGTCCAGTGTTTAAAGTTTATTTGCAAGAGAGATTTTCAAGTAATCTTATTATTTTTTCTGTTATATTTCTCCTCCTTGGACATTCTTAGTAATTAAACGTGTGATCTCTCCAGCTTTTATTAATTAAATTAGCCAATAGGTTATGTGACTTTTTATTTCAATAAAAAGAATATAGATTATTAAACCTAGTTTTTCTATTTTCCTATTTTCTATTTTAGTAATTTCTGATTTTATTTTTGTTATTTCCTTTTGATATTTTTACTATTTTCCTAGTTTTCTGAGTTGGGAATTTAATCTGCTTTAAAAAAATTTTTTTTAAATTTACACTGATGTAAGTATTTAAAGCTATGACTTTTCCCATGATCACTGCTTTAAGTATTTTCCATAGTACCTGATTTTCAGTGTTTCGCCATTATTTTTCATAAGTTCTGTACTAGTGTTTGTATTTCTCCTTTTACTCAAGATCTACTTTAGAAGGCTTATTTTTAATTCCAAGTGGATGGCCTTTTAATTTGACATTACTTTTTACTGTTATTGCATTATGAGAATATTATTTGTAACATTTGGCTACGTAACTTAATTGTGTTTTCTTTGTAATGATATTTTTGTTTGTGTGATCTGCCTGAGAGTAGTGTTAAAATCCCCTATTTGCATTATTTCCCCTTGCATCTCCCTTGTTCCTTCTTTATAAAGATGGGTGCTAAACTATTTGGTACATATGGATTTACATTTGTAATATCTTCAGTGTGCATTATATCTTTCAGTACTAAAAGATGCTCTTGCCACATTAATGCTTTTTAGCTTGGATAATGCTTTGATTAGTATTAGGACTGCAACCCCTGCATTCTTACTGTTTCCATGTAACTGGTATATCTTTGCCCATATCTTTATTCTTATGTTTCTGAACTACTTTACTGTAGATGTGTATGTATGCATGTATGTAAAATCATATATATGTATGTATGTAAAGTCATGTATTTGTATATAATCATACACATATATAGCATGCACACACACATATTTATGTATATGATTACTGAGCTAGATTGAATGTCATTTTTAATAGATGTTTGAAGCTCATTTACATTTATTGATGTGACTGATATATTTTGCCTCAACTTTGTCATAATATTTTAATATTATGATGTATATTATGTTATTGTTGTTATATTCTTTCTCTGTGTAAAATGCTTATTTTCCCTTTCTGCTTCACATTTATTTTGGCATTTAGGAAAGTTTGAGTTTTTATTTGCATTGTTACGTTTGTACTCATACCGTCTTTAAAATCTTCATCTCTTGTGTTTGTTTTTCAACATTTGTTTCAAACAATCTGGCTTGCTAGATTTGCGTGGTATTCTTTGACTTTGAACTATTACCTAAATAATATAAGTTTATTCTACTTTCCTGTTTTCCTTTCTTTCTGCGAATTTTAGTTGTTGCATTGTCTACTTTGTCAGGTCATTTGCATATTATTTTATGCTTTTCTCCATCTTCATATTAGTCCTATTTGAGCTGTTAGTTATATGAGTTTCTTGCTATGGGTTTTTCTGAAGTTTTTGCAGTCCTCTTAGGTGGATGACGTTTATCTTCCAGGCGACTGCTGAAGAAGGGCTCGGGTTTGTGATAGACCCTATATTTTGCATGATTAACACCATTTTTCTGCAGCCTTCATACTTATGTAGATGGTTATATGGATGGTTGATTATAAAATCTTTGCTCCAGTCTTCCTTTTCCCTTGATTTTCTTAAAATTATTGCACCGTCATCACTATTATTACGGTTATTATTTTATTTCCTTATTACTTTTGGGAATTCTGGGGTCAAACTAATTCTTTTGCTCTGGGAAAGTGTTTGATCTTTCTCCCTTGAAGCCCTGCAGACTTTTTGTTTTCTTAAAATCTGATTGTTTTTTAAAATGCAAAGGTTTCAGTTTTATTTCTTTTTTGATAGTTTCAACTCATATTTTAGATTCAGGGGGTACATGTGCAGATTTATTACATGATACTGAGGTTTGGGGTGTGGATCCCCTCACCCGGGTAGCAAGCATAGTTCCCCTAGGTGGTTTTCAATCCACCTCTCCCTCCACCCTTCTCTGGTGGTCCGCAATGTCTACTGTTGCTCTTTTATTTCCATAAGTGCCCAACGTTTAGCTCCCAGTTATAAGTGAGAATGTGGTATTTGGTTTTATGTTCGTGTGTTAATTCACTTAGGATTACAAACTCCAGCTGCAGCCGTGGTGCTGCAAGAGCCATGATTCCATTACTTTTTATGGCTGCACAGTATTTCATGGTGTATATGTACCACATTTTCCTTATCTAACCCACCATTTATGAGCGACTAGGTTAACTTCATATCTTTGCTAGTGTGAATAACGCTGCAACAAACATACAAGTGTATGTGTTTTTCTGGTGGAATTATTTATTTTTCTTTGGGCATATACCCAGTAATGAGATTGCTAGCCAGAGCAATCAGGCAAGAGAAAGAAATAAAAGGCAAACAAATAGGAAGAGAGAAAGTCAAACCATCTCTCTTTACTGACAATATGATTCTATACCTAGAAAACCCAAGAGACTTAGCCAAAAGTCCCCTAAAACTGATAAATGATTTCAATAAAGTTTTAGGATACAAAATCAATGTACAAAAATTAGTAGCATTTCTATATACCAATAATATTCTAGGTAAGAGTCAAATCAAGAAAGCACTCTCATTTACAGTGGCCACACAAAGGAGAAATACCTAGTAATGCAGCTAACCAAGGAGGTGAAAGATCTCTTTAAGACACTGCTGAAAGAAATCAGAGATAACACAGATACCAATTTGTGTCATGGAAAAACATTCCATGTTCACCTATTGGAAGAATCAATATTGTTAAAGTGGCCATACTGCCCAAAGGAATTTACAGATTCAACGCTATTCCTATCAAACTACCAAAGTCGTTTGTTCATGGAATTAGAAAAAAACTATTTTAAAATTCACAGGGAACCAAAAAGAGCCCAAATAGCTAAGGCAATCCTAAGTAAAAAGAACAAAACAAGAAACATCACATTACCCAACTTCAAACTATACTATAAGGCTACAGTAACCAAAACAGCATGGTACTGATACAAAAAGAGACACATAGACCAATGGAACACTATACAAGAACCCATAAACAAATCCACACTCCTACAACCACCTGATCTTCAACAAAACCGACAAAAAATAAGCAATGAGGAAGGACTTCCTGTCAATAAACGATGCTGGGATAGCTGGCTAGACTCATGTAGAAGAATGAAACTGGACCCCTTTCTTAAACTATATACAAAATTAACTCAAGATGGATTAAAGGTTTAAGTGTAAGATCTTAAACTATAAAAATCCTAGAAGAAAACCTAGGAAATATCCTTCTCGACACTGGCTTTGGCAAATAATTTATGGCTAAGTCCCCAAAAGCAATTGCAACAAAAGCAAAAATTGACAAGTGGGACCTATATAAACTAAAGAGCTTCTGCACAGCAAAATCAACTATCAACAGAGTAAACAGACAATCTATAGAATGGGGGAAAATATTCACAAATTATGTATCTGACAAAGTTGAATATCCAGAATTTATAAGGAACTCAAATCAAAATCTAATTGTTTTAATAGGATACATCCCTGAGAAAATCATTCGAGTTATTTATGCCAGGTATCTGGAAAGTTCTTTCAATGTGTCGGCTTATCTTTTATTTATTTCTTCAATGTTCTCTTCCACTAGAGTTGTGTGAATCAATTCTGTTCCATTGTTTCATTTCACTTCTTTAGTAGCTCCTGTTGCCTGTTTCAACCCCTTTCTTTCCGACAGTTTTTTTAGCCTCATTTTTATTCTCTTGGTTGTTCTTTCCTTTCTCCAATATTTTTATTGAATTTTTATTTAAATTTATTCTTTCTTATAACCTTGTGACCTGGTCATCATTTTTAGATGCTTTTGTATTTTCTTTTATTTCCCAAGTTCAATCAACATTTCTTTCCTTTTTTTACTTAATTATTTTTGTTTTTAATTATTGAAGTGGATGCTGCATTTAAAAAATATTGCAGAATGTTTATCAAGGACATTTAATCAAGTCTGGAGTGCTTGAATAACGCTTTTTTTTATAAAGAAAAAATTGAGAGAGAAAACTGTAACCACCTGAAATGATTTTTATTTCCTGTTTTCTTCTAATAGTAAGTTTGCTTGTAAGGTTTGTTTATACATATGCATTTTGAGTTCAACGTTTTTGTTCATAGTGGTTTAAGCCTCCTAGTGCAAAAAGCCCTTTTCTCTGGTGTAGCAAACTGTGGCTTGGAGGGGAGAGGTGGTTTGTCCTTTAGTTTGTCCTTTGTCTTGCAGGATCCTAAGATTCTCCCCAGCCCCTGCTTCTTATTTGCAACAAATCTCCAGAGGGGCTGCTCCTTCCTCGTCCACCATCTTCTCTCCCCAGTGCCATGCTTTCCAATGGCATGACCTTGAGCCTTGTGTATGCCCACGCCCCTTCCCAGCTGCTCTGATCTATCAGGATCCTTTCTTGGTAATTTATGTCTCTAGCTTCTTGGGGTGATTTTAAGTCCACCTTTGTGCTTGTATTTCTTTTTCTTATTTCTGGGCAGCTTTTCATTATCCCCTAACTCTCTGAGAAGTCTTGCCATGAGAGCTCAAGAAAAAAGTCTTCATGTAGATACTTTCCACTACAGGTAACTAACGGACTGTGATAGTCTTTTTCTTCTAGCCATGCTGTGTGGTTCCATTTGTTTTTCTTCTAACTGCACAGTTATTGTGACATGCAGGGTTAGGTAGACACCATTGCCTTGGATACCCTAATGTCCTCTGAAATTTTTCTGAATCCAATTGTTACTTTAAAACTTGTATTGGCAGTTCTAGTTGTGTCTGCCTTCGGACAGTAAAATTTATCAAGGGAAAATTAAGAAAAACTAAAAAGGATAATGCTTTAAGAGGGGTTATCTCATTTGGCATTATGGTCACCGGTACATAAGTTATGTGAATATTTTTATTATCTTAATAGAATCTGTAATTTAGCTCAAGTGAAGGTAAGAAAAATAAGTTCTATGACATGAACACATAACAATTTATGAAGTATAAATGTCTTTATCATATTATTTTCCAAAGATCTACAGATACACAAGCAGCCCCAATGATCATTAAATAAAACTGTCTTTTATGTCATGCCTACTTTCATCTTTATAAAAATCGTAACTTTATCCATAGTGGTATTCTGTTTCTATAAAACATATTTTCTAAGTTATAAGCATAGAGCGTATGTATTGGATATATAAAATTCTGAGACACGTGGACTATCCTGCCGGTGCTCCACTCAGGTAGAAGAGGATGTGTGCTCACACAGCCACACCGATCAGTGTCCAAACCAGGATGCTTCTGGGAATGAGATGAAGTGTTAGCAACAATTATGCTGCAGTTAGGTAAACTGAAACTATGGCTCCCCCTGACTGACCACACTCGCAGGCTTATCTCTCATCAGTACACCTTCATTTTGTCCACATTTCAGTCACACAACATTTCCATTCCCAGACTCTTAGCATGAGCTCTTCCCACTTCTCTGAATAAACTTACGCACTTTTTTGCCTGGATATTTCATATTCGTGTCCTGATCTCACGTTACGTGTTGCTTTCTAAATGCAGTCCTTTACTTTTTCATCATATTCATTATATTCTACCCCCTTGTATATTTGGTACTGGAGTTTAATGCCCGCCTCTTCTTCTGGGCTGTAAATGCAATGAGGATGGAACTGTATCTACGGGTCTCATCACTGTCACCCCCCACCTAGAATGTGGTAACTGTTTAGTCCACACTTAGGGAATCAATGGATGGATGAATGGATGCCCCTTACCAGCTCTTGGGAAATTGATCTTGGAAACATAATTTAATCTCTCTTAGATTCTGTTTCCTCGTCTGTAGCAGGAAGACTAAAAATGTACAACGTTCACAAAGCTATGTCAGGATTAGGCAAAATAAGGCAAAGTGATCAACAGTGCTGGTGCACAGAGCTCAGAGAACTCAGAAATATTCCGCATGATTGGAACAGACTGTTCCATTTTAAGCTGAGATCTCCTTTATTCACTGTGCATATTTCAGATCAACTTCAATTTGAGGTGGAAAGTGCACAGTGACATCAGTCTTGCAAACTGGTGTACATCCGGGCTGAATCCAACCCAATCAGACCTGAAACCAGGTCGTCCGAGCCATGCGCGGGAGTTCGCGTTGTTTTCTGAGCTACAGCTTCCAGAAACCAAGATGTGCCCATTCGAACATCAAGACTGGGCTCCTCCCTCCCATGCTGTGCATCTCCCGCGGATCCAGGTTCTGGTGCCAGGGTCACCCACAGGGCTCCTCCTTCCCCCGCCCTCCACGCTGCACCCAGGCCTGCTGTGCCCCAGGAGCTGCTCTGCCCGGCACTCTGCATTCCCAGTGTCCAATGTGGCACTGACCTTCTCTTGCCAATTACTGATTTTACCTCCTGGGGAAGGCCCTGAGCACCGTGGCCACGGTGTGGCGGAACTTCAAGCCGCTTGATGTTTCCACTTTTCTTCCACTTTTATTTCTGCAGATTCGCTGAGTTGCTCTAGTCCCTCCCCGGTGCACTTAGGGCTAACGTGATGGGGACGGGTAAGAATCTCTCCCTGCTTCCTTCCAAGACCTGGCATCTGCCTTCCCCCAGCCTCGGCCTCCACTCCACTGTGGAACACTTCAGCTGTCAGGCGTCATTTTAAAACATACCAAAAAATTATTTCATCCCTTAAAGTTTTTGTTTTATTTGTGTTCATTAGAATAACCACTTTGCAGCCTTTTGTTGCCATTATTGTTGAATATTCATAAGAGTCTGCCTACTTACTGGATAATTATATTACATTAATATGGTATGAATAAAAAAAGCAGTAATTATGCTTTTATCCTGTTCTGTTTTGCAATTTACAGTTTGCTTGTTTCAAGAATAAAAGGAAATTGCCACATTTGAAACAATGTTGTTTTATTGCTAAACTAGGAAGAACACAAGAAGCCCACCCAGGGTGACAGGTTAAAATATATTTTATTTCTCCCATTCCTTGTTTAGACAAAGACTTACATCTTGGTATCGCATTGCTGACTAATGCATAGACAAAACTAGGAATTTTTTTTTAAAGGATAAAAGAGGCATCTCTTAATCAGAAGATGACATTTTCTCCTGGCTGTCTTTGATTAATAGCAATAATAAAGGATGGAAACATTTTAAAGTGGTTGAAGCCAGTCATATTCCAGTTTCCAAATCTAAAGAAATGTGTCACTGTTTTCAGAGAGGTTGCTTTCCTCTGTCTCTATCTAGGAAGCACCGACTCCCTCTGAGAAGAACCACAATGTGCTATGACGAGAGATGGTTCAGCATCCTTGTCCAAGAGTAAGGCCATCTACCAAGTATAGACATGGATATAAAAGGGCTCAGAATACATTTGTATTGATCTTTTGGGCTCATAGTAGGTGTTCAATGAATACTCATTGAATGAATCTAAAAGCTTGTTTAGATTTTGATTTTAAAAGTTTCCACTACTTGGCCGGGCACAGTGGCTTTTACCTGTAATCCCAGCACTTTGGGAGGCCGAGGCAGGCAGATCATGAGGTCAGGAGTTCAAGACCATCCTGATCAACACAATGAAACCCTGTCTGTACTAAAAATACAAAAATTGGCTGGGGGTGGTGGCCGGCGCCTGTAATGCCAGCTACTCGGGAGGCTGAGGTGGGAGAATCTCTTGAACCTGGGAGGCAGAGTTTGCAGTGAGCTGAGATCACGCCACTGCACTCCAGCCTGGGTGACAGAGCTAGACTCTGTCTCAAGCAAAACAAAACAAAACAGACAAACAAACAAAAAATGTTTCCACTGCTTTAGGTGAGGCCCTTATCAGCACTGAAGCATATGGTATTAAAATATCTTGAGTTTGATATGGACACGAAGAGGAGAACAACAGATACCAGGGCCTACTGGAGGGTGGAGGGTGGGAGGAGGGTGAGGATCCAAAAACTACCGAGCAGGGACTATGCTTATTGGGATTCGTTCATGAAATAATTTATATACCAAACCCCCAGGACATGCAATTCACCTATATAACAAACCTGCACATGTACCCTGAACCTAAAATAAAAGTTCAAAAAATAGATCCTGACTTTGAAAACATATTCTGAAAATTAATTGAAGCTATTATATGCTTGGTTATATTTTAAATATTAAAAAATTAATGTGAATGAAATATTATATAATTAGTTTAAAGAAGTTCATTCCGTTTTCAGAAATAGTGTTAACTGCTTTTGTATGTAGCTAATCAATAAAGAAAATCCACAAAACAATTTTAATCAGATAGAAAAGAAATGTTCCACTTAAGCCACAGGAAAAATGAAACTCCACCCCAGTTCCCCATTGTTTTCTGTGATGTTTGGGTTCATTGTGTGTGAAATTCCAATCAACATATGGGAAAAGACTGCCTAAATCATAAGTAAAATCATACTTGAGGCTGGACTCAAAGCATACTTACAAGTGGCTCAATGTCAATATGAAAGAACATAACAGGTGGTGTTTCCCTTAGGAAAATCCTGGGTTCAATGCTGTTTAAGCACTTTCATTAATTTTCTGAATGATAGGATGGGAAGTATGTTCATTAAGTGTACAAAGAAACCAAGCTGGAAGGAGCAGATAACACCATAGAGAATAGGAACAGATTTAATCATGACCAAGAAATCTAACTAAATGGTCAGAGGAGATACAAGGGTCAGCCCAGGGAGTGCAGTGTAGTGATCCTACCAGCATGTGTGTGGGGAGCTGCCTGGGAGACATTCACGGCTACAGTTTCACCCTGGGTGCACGTTATGTTCACCTGGGGAGCTTTGCAAACACACTGAAGCCCAGGCCACAGCACACGCAGCAGCCAAGCTCTCGGGGGGCTGGCCAGGTGGCCTTCAGGTGATTCCCACCAGCATCTCAGCTCGCAAGGCCCTGTTGTGGGAACTGAAGTCGATGGAGTTGGAATCTGACAGAAGAAGACCTGGACCCTATGCTGAAAAGGATGCAACAAAGTCATTTGGAAATTTAAAAACAAAAAAGACCAATGTAGGAAGCTTGTGAATTATTTTTTAAAAATCACATGAGATGCATTATCCAGTCCAAATGGTAATTATTTATATTATCCCAACTGCCATAGTTACAGTTTTAAAAACTTGACATTGGTCTCAGTCTCTTGTTTTTGTGTCATCAGTTTAGTTTTTATGTTTGTCGTTACTACTGTCATGATTCTGTTTTTGCCGGTGGGGAGGAGGTGAGTGTCTTGCCCTGTTTGCCACCTGCCCGAAGGAATGGAGAGGAGCGGCTTTCACAGCCATTTGGCTGTACTGTGGGGCCGAATTTGCCTGTCACTGGAGACATACCTGCTACGTCTCTGTCACTGGAGACATACCTGCTACGTCTCTGTCACTGGAGACATACCTGCTACGTCTTTGGCTGCCCAGCTTTTCAAAGGGTGCGTGCCACCCCTCTGAAGAGGTGACACACCAGGACTTAAGCAGCTGAAAGGGATTCAGTAGAGAGCAGCAGAAACGATTAAAGACTCGGAAAATAGGACCTATGAGGAAGATTAAAGGATCTGTGATTATTTAGCCTGGAGAAGAGAAGCTGACCTAATAACCATCTTCAGGATGCTGAAGGGTTATTATGTGGAGGGTGGTGACCAGCTGTTCCTCTCTACACTGACGATAGGAAGAGAGGAAATGGGCTTCGGTTTCAATAGGGAGGGTTTAGGTGAGCCCAGAGCTTCCTCCCACCAGACAAGGCACTGAGTTAAGATGCCCAGTCGCTGGAGAGGGAAGGCAGTGTCCGCTCGGAGGGGTGCCCGTCCATGGGGGTGACATGGCGTGGTCCCAGGCAGGGGCACAGGCTAGAGAAGCTTGAGCATCCGTACCCTATGCTCACATTGTGTAATGTTCCCAGTGCCTCGCTCCCGTTTCCATTGGTTATCTGCACAGTTCCTTGAAGAGTCCTGTGAAAGCTTGTCTGTGTGAAGGTCAAGCATTCTAAACGGCGGCTCCGTGGAGAGTGTGCCCTCGTTGGACGTGAAGAACCAGCCAGCTGCTGTTTCTTCTTTCTTTATTTTCATAGATTATTGCAATAGCATCATCAAAGGAACTGCAATGCTATTCTGAAGGAAATAAAAATTAGAATCAATTCCAGCTTTGAGTTCAAATTATTTTCTATTGGTATCATCTTTGATTTTTTTAAAAAAATGTGTTCATTGGTATTTTTGTTTGTTTGTTCAACGGGAAGAAAGTCAAGAGAAAGGTGTCATTTTTCTCATTTTGAATTTCTATAATCAGAACCATTTCTAATATATAACTCTTATGTGGGTCTTGCATAAGCCTCAGACACAAATAATTTGGGAATTATTCCTGGTTCCAGTAAAAGCTTGCCTCCTTTAAACCATCACAAAAGGGAAATTACTGGTCTATTATAAATGAGATACAGACTTCTTAAGATACATTTTTTTGGGGGAGGGAGGTATTGGTTATCAGTCTCATTAATCTAAACACAACTTCTCGTGATTTTTCTTGTGCCTCCACCACTCATGACCATGTTTGTAATAAATTTTTTATGGCCACAGAATAAAAGTATTATTTTTGATTTCCCAGTGAGATACTTACAGTATAGCAAAAGTGAGGCTAGTGAAATATTAATCAAATCCTTTTAGTTTTCTTTCTTTCTGTGTGGGGAAGGCTGTAATTAAACATCATTGCTGTCATCAGATAGTTTCAAAATCTAAATTTATTTTATAAGGTGCATCTCCTCCCAAATGCAATATTCCAGCCATATGAGAATATTTAATATTCCTTGGCTACACCATCACTCTCCTCTTTTTGCACATCGTGGTTCTTCACCCTTCCCCTTTCCAGGGAACCCCCTTTATCCCCATATCCCACTCCTATTTGTCCTTTAATTATCTGGGAAGTCAATATTTCATTACAGTACTACACATGGTGTATTGTAATTTCCTATGTACTCACGTGTTTCTCCCATAGAACGGGAAACTCCTGAGAGTGTGTCTCCTCACAATTGCATTATCATTGTCTAAATCTGCTTATTACTCAGTAGACACTCGAGCAATGGGTGGTGGATTGTGGAGGGTGGAGGTTGGGTGGAGGGGTGTTTGGGGGAAGGAGGGATGAGTGGATGGTGGATGGTCAGTTCTTGGCTGGAAAAATGGGCACAGAGAGGGCTGTGGGGAGGTGGAGGGATGGGGATGGATGTTTGGGGGTGGGAGGGCAGACGGAGGAGGAGGGTGGAGAGGTGGAGGCTGGGCGGGTGGATGGAGGAGGGGCGGGCAGATGAACAGAGCTATACTGCGTGGGGAGGTCTGTCTGGGTCAAGTATTGTATCATGAACACTGGTCTTATTAACACCCTAGAGTAAGTCATTTACTGAAAGACATTAAGCTGTTTTACAAGAATCAATTTCATTATATTGCCATTGTTGAACTTGCTTAATTTTGGAATCCTGTTCAGTTTATTTTAAAGGAAAATGTATTTTTAAATCATGTAGACTTTTCCATCTTCCACACAAATACTGACATAAAATTCCTATGACTTATTTTGGTGCTTTAAGTGGCAGCTAGTGCCGCCTTCGCGAAGAAGCTACGCCCCGTCCGCTGACGGTGCCTGGAGCCTAGAGGTCGGCAGACCACACTCATCGCTCGGCTGTGCCTTGAATGTTGACACCATCAGTAATTTCACATTTCCATCAGGTTTAGGGAGGAGGGGGCTCTGGAATGCCTCTGATTTTTTTTCCATCATAAGCAGAAATCAAAGTGTTTTTACAAACTCTAAGGAAAACGTGATGTATTCACGTCATGGCTTTTTCTTTAAAAATAGACAGAGGGGGCTATTTTTATGCTCAAGACAGATTTTTAGAAAGAAACTTATCTTATAAATCTGACCAAAAGAATCAAAACCATTCTCCTCTTTCAGGATTAAAAGTCGATACACTCCCTACAAGTACATAAAAGTGTGATCCCTTCAACTGGAATTTTATTAACAGTTCTTTGTTTTTCCCTCCGCTTTTCTCTGAACCTCGGAACAGAGAACCAGCTTTTCTTTTTGGTGGAGAACACCTCTAAGTAGACACATCCCTCTGAATTTCACCAAACCACTGAATGTAGCTACTCCTTTGAATATGGAAAAGGGATGGTTTACTTTTGTTAAAGCAGTCTCCCATTAAATAAATAGTGGTGAATGATGCTACAAAAATTATTTTAAAGCAACACCACTGTGTCAATAGTAGTAGTATTTTTAAGACACATATCTAACACCAGATAAAAACTGCAAGTCACTGAAGAACGCACCGAAGTAGTCAGGGTTGTCCAGAGGGACAGAACTAATATGCACGTGGGAAAGGGAGTGTCTGGGAGAAATGGCTCAGATGATCACAACACCGTCTGTAAGCTGGGGAAGAGAGAAGCCAGCAGTGGCTCAGTCTGAGTCCAAAAGCCTCAAAAGCAGGGAAGCTTACAGCATAGCCTCCAGTCTGTGGCCAAAGGCCCGAGAGCCCACAGAAAAGCCACTGGTGCAAGTCCCAAAGTCCAAAGGTCGAAGCGTCTGGGGCCTGATGTCCAAGGGCAGGAGGAGCAGAAGCGAGCATCTGACACAGGGAGAGAAAGAAGGAAGCCAGGAGGTTCAGCAAACTGCTCATCCCACCCTCTCCTGCCTGCTGTGTTCTAGCTGCGCTGGCAGTCGATTGGATGGTGCCCACCCACATCGAGGGTGGGCCTTTCTCTCCTAGTCCACTGGCTCAAATGTCCATCTTCTCTGGCAACACCCTCCCAGACACACTGAGAAACAATACTCTACCAGCCATCTAGGCATCATTGGGTCCCGTCAGACACACCCAGAAACGATTCTTTATCAGCCATCTGGGCTTCCTTCAGTCTCATCAGACACACCCAGAGACGATACCTTACCAACCATCTAGGCATCCTTCAGTCCCATCAAGGTGACACCTGGTATTAACCATCACACCCACTATGCATGTTTCTGCCCAACAGAATACACCGTTTCTGTTGTATTCAATTTACGTTACACAGACTATAATTAATGTCATAACATGCTCAAATGCCCTTGATGAAAACAATATAATAACATGCATAGCTATTTTAAATAATTCACTGGGGATTAAAATAACTGTAAACAAAGATTCTTGGGTTCTCAGGATGGAACATGTTTCTGGTTCACCTAAATTACTTAACACACTAAACAGCAGAGTATATTGAAGACATTGGTTCTTTGGAAAACAGGCATTTGGGATTTTACTTTAAGACATCAGGGATATTTGAATCTGGGTAACTGAAGATAATAGTGAAAGATTTTTTGATGATTTTGAAAACGGATATATATTCACTAATCAACTCTAAGGGCAGGGAGAATAATCTATGTATATATGTATTTATTTATTTCTGAGATGGAGCCTTGCTCTTGTCACTCAGGCTGGAGTGCAATGGCGCGATCTCGGCTCACTGCAATGGTGCAATCTCGGCTCACTGAAACCTCTGCCTATCGGATTCAAGCAATTCTCCTACCTCAGCCTCCTGAGTAGCTGGGATTACAGGCCCCCACCACCATGCCCAGCTAATTTTGTTTTTTGTATTTTTAGTAGAGACAAAGTTTCACCATGTTGGCCAGGCCAGTCTTGAACTCCTGAACTCAGGTGATCTGTACACCATGGCCTCCCAAACTGCTGGGATTACAGGCATGAGCCAGTGTGCCCAGCTGATGTATTTGAAATAAAAGTTCCTAGGAGGCTTTTAAAATCTCAGGTAAGAAGAGCCCTGCCTCTGTCTTCCCCAGCTGAGCCCTCTGCTTGTGGGATATACCCCCTTTCTCCTGCCTGGCACCTGGTTCTGACAGTCATCTCCCTTGTCCGGCCTCAGCCGATTCACCCACTCAGCCTCCTGGGCACTTATATGATCACAGCCAGGATGGCGCCTGTCACCCACTCCTCTCCTTCTTATTGAAGTAAAGCTCCCTTGAAGGTCTAGCCACAGCTGTGGTTGTCAAACTTCAGCTTGAGCACTTGCATTTCTAACAAGCTGCCAATGCTGAAGCTGCTGGAATGGGACCCAGTTCAGAAGCAGGAGGCCGCGCTCTCTTCCGACCTCACTCCTTTCCCCACCCTCCCTTTACAGCCTAAATTGTTCTGTGCGAGTTCCGCTTCACATTCCGCCACATCCACTTCCGTCAAGTACAGCAATGACTTCTTCACTTGACGGTCAGTCTAGAGCTTTTTTTCTGCCGCCCTGAATGCCCTGAATTTACTGGAACTCTCTGTGGCATGGGAGACCACTTGCCCATCCCTCCTGACTTGAGGGGCGTTTTGTCTCCATTCTCCTTCGGGCCATCTGCAAGGAGTCTTTAACACAGTGTCCACCTCCCGCTCCGTCGAGGTATCACAGGGCCCTAACGCACTCTCGACTTTCTCCTTCTCTTTGGTCTCGGCGTATAGGCCTCTGTGTGAAACCACAGGCTGAGTTTTAGGTAGCAATTGTGGCTGGAGTCAATGCAGCTGATCCACCAAATTGGCTGCACTGGTGGTGCAGCCAATCCACCAAAGTCAGAAGGGACTTTGGCAGCTCGGTGAGGTCTTGAAGAATCCCAGCCGTCCTCTGAGAGTCCACTTATCCTAGGACAGGTTCCCCACTTACTCCTTGGATACATTGTTTTCAAGTAAAGTCCTTAGCTGTGTCTTTTTTAAATTTTATTTTCTTTGCTCTTGCATCATTTTTTTTCTCTTTCTTTCCTTTATTATTTTTTATGGGGTCACTGTCCTTGACTCTTTTCTATAGAAAGGTTGACCTTGACTTGAGGAATATTGAGATTGAACTTCAAAGTATGTAGGAGATCTTAGAGCTACGTGCAAAAACTCAGAAAACTGGGCTGTTCCTTTAGAAGGAAGCTGAGTGCATGTTGGTTACATGAGTGGTCATAGAATTGAATGAAGGAGAAACACTTACTGGTAAGTGCAAGTGTGGGAAATTGGGTCTGTGCAATTTGGGGTCACCTAGTGCTTGTACCACAGTCCTCACCGGAAGTTTTTTGACTACTCTCATCTTCCTGTAGAGAATTTCCACAGTGAGGATCGATTTAGAAAATGGAAAAAAGAAGCCAGGCAATGTGCTTTGTGTAATTCCACAGCTAGGCAGCAGAATGACCGTTCGAGTCTGAACGCTGAGAGAGGGGCATCTGGAAGAAGGAAGGTGGATCCTGGTGGCCGCAGCCACTGACGCCCGGCGCAGGTGCACAGAGGGGGCTCCCAGTGCTCCCATGGCCCTGTCCTGCCCACAGCCCAGTCATGCCTCTGGCTGCTTTGCTGGTCCAGAGCCTTGTTCCCGCCTTCTGTGGAGCCTGTGATCCAGCCAGCACCTTCCAAGGCCCTGCCCTGCTCAGTGAGCTGAGGCTTTCCTTGTTCACCACCCTGGACTCCGCAGATTCTCCCTCTGCAACTCTCTGCTTCTTTTCAGATTCTATTTCAGTTCATCCTTCGCAGAATTTTGTCAGCGAATTGTAGAAGGTGTTATACTAAAACAAACAAACTTATCCAACTTGAGGATGACAAAAGCTGGGTGGTGGTAGTAAGGTCTGGAGGAAGACATTAAGAAATGAAAAATTAAATTCCAAATAATTATGATAAGTAAAATAAGGAGATAAAATGATTCTACAAGTGGGTTAAACAAACAAGCCTCTATTAAAATATTCAAAAGGCAACCCAGCAGTATGCTGGTAAATGTTTAACAACTGGTTCTCCAAAACTAAAAACAAAAACAAAAACCCAATTTGTCATGTCTGCTAATTTCCTACTGTGGCTGATTTCAAGCTACCACTGGCTCACAGAATTCCCGGAAATGTGAGACTTGGCTCTGGTGCACGCAGGCCCAGCTCCAGGGAGCGGCGGTTCCGCTGTTGAGTACATCCTGCCTGGCTCTAAGGGCTCTGAATGTTTTAATTTATCTTAATCTCCATAGACATGCCACAGGGAAGTCGGCTAGAAAGTGTGGAGCAGGGATGGGAAGCCATCGGCTGGGCTCAGCCGGGATCCCTGGCTGCATTGGATGTGTGGAGCAGGAAGGATCAGGGCATCAGCTTGCTCCGCAGGGCAACATCGCATCTGAGGTATTGTCTTCAAGGGCAATTTGTCTCTTTGTTTAAAGAGAAGCAGCGTAAAATACAGGGCATTCAGAGAGTTACGCGAATGGAGCTCAGAACGTCTATCACCAGTTACGGCTGAAGAAGAAACCAGGAGGAGCCCCGTGGTTGTGTTCACACTGCTGAGGCTAACAAGCGTTTGGCCCAGGTTCTGCAAAGATCCTTTATTTTAGAGAGAGAGAGAGAGAGCAGCATTCTGAGTCATGTTCTGGGATATGGAAGAAGGTAGAGTTAGTCTAGTTCTTAGCGGATTTTAGTGACCGCCATGCCCTAAGAATTGGGCTGACTCTACCCTCTTCCACATCACAACCCAATTCCGCTCATTCCTCTCTGTCTTTCTTCATTGGGCTGGGGAGAGGGGATGCAATTACACTCCCAGGAAGGATCTCGCGGACTGTAGAAACGTGACTGGGTATTCATTGAGAAGTCCTAGGCAATGTCACCGTGTTAACAGGCTTCTGAGTGACAACATCCCTTCTGCAGCCTTGCTCTCTGTGTTTTTCTACTTATTTTCATTATGTTTCCCTCTCTTTTCCCTACAGGGTCCTTTACCCGCTATTGCCCCTCTTATTCTGACCTTGTGTTCCTACATCCTGGCCTTCTGCTCCTCCTCCGCCTCCACCTCATTGTTTTCTCAATTCCTTCCTTCTCAATCCCTTGGTCAACTTCAGCTATCGTTTGTACCCCAACAACTTCTGAACTTCCCTCTAGAGCGCAGCACTTCCTCTTCACTCCCACAACTCTCCCACAACGCCACCCTCTGCGTATTTCCCATGCGTACCCAAAGCCAACCCATCCAAGGCTCATGAAGACCCTTCAGACCCCCATCGAGCTCCTCCTCGGTTCTTGGGGCCACCGTCCCCCGGAGAAGCCCACTCCTGAACACCATCGTCCCCTGTTCCTTCCAGGCAGTGGGCCCCGAGCCCCGGAATTTCTGCCTTCTTCTTATCCCTTAAGCACGCCATCGCCCCCTGTTCCTTCCAGGCTGTGGGCCCCGAGCCGCGGAATTTCTGCCTTCTTCTTATCCTTCAAGCGCTTGCCTGCCTGCACCCCATCCCTGCTGCCCCTGCTGTGACCACACAGCCGTCCACCTCTGCTTGGATTCCTGCAGGAGTCCACACCCGGGGTCTGGGCTGTTGTCCTGCCACCCAATCCTACAGGTGTGTTCTCATCAAGGGCACTTGTGTACAAATTCTGTTCATGATGGCCCTTTGCTGGAAGGCCCTTAGCTGAAATTCTGCTCACAACAGCCTTCCTGTGGCATGTCTGCCCATGCCTATGGCTGCCTTAGCAACCACTGCAACTGCAGTGACTTTCAACAGGGTAAATCTATTATCTCACAGTCTTGAGCTCAGGAGTCAAATGTGCGTCTCCCTGGGCTAAAATCCAGGTGCCTGCAGGACTACACTTCTTTCTCAAGGCTCCAGGGAGAACCTTGTCCTTGCCTTTTCCACCTTCCTTTTCACATGGCCCCTTCCCCCAGCCTTGTAGTCAGCAGTGGCCTATTGAGTCTCTGGAATCCCTCTTGAATCTTCTGCCTCCCTCTTCCACATCTAAGCGCTCCTGTGATCATGCTCGGCCCACCTGATGGTCCAGGACAACCCTGGTTTTCAGGTCGGCTGATTGGCAGCCTGATTTCCAGTTGTAGCCTTAGTCCTCCTTCGCCATGGAACATGAGAATCTCGCAGGTCCCAGGATTAGGGTGAGGGCATCTTTGGGGGTCCATTACTCTGCACACCACTACGGCTTCCAGAATAAGGTGAAACACCCCCAGCCCTGGCATCAGAGGCTCCATCACCTGACCCTCCCCTGCCCTGGCCTGAGCTTCATTCTTAATCTGTGTTTCAGGCAGTTTCCCCAACAATCCATTCTCACTCTGTCTTCAAGGTTGGAAACACCACTCTGTCTTCCCAAAGCACCATTGTCCCTCTCCCTGCTCTTCCAGCGGCTGACACCTGCCCGTCTTGGGCTCCACAGAGCTTCCTCTAAAAGTGTCAGAGGCGTTTAAACCAGAGCAACTCCATATTGAATAGGAACTGGGTAAAATAAGGCTGAGATCTACTGAGCTGCATTCCCAGATGGTTAAGGCATTCTAAGTCACAGGTTGAGATAGGAAGTTGGCATGGGATACAAATCATAAAGACCTTGCTGATAAAACAGGTTGCAGTAAGGAAGCCAAAACCCACCGAAACCAAGACAGCGACAAGAGTGACCTCTGGCCATCCTCACTGCTACACTCCCACCAGCGCCATGAGAGCTTACAAATGCCATGGCAACATCAGGAAGTTACCCTATATGACCTAAAAGGGGAGGCATGAATAATCCACCCCTTGTTTAGCATATCATCAAGAAATAACCATAAAAATGGGCAACCAGCAGCCCTCGCGGGCTGCTCTGCCTGTGGTAGCTAATCTTTTATTCTTTTACTTTCCTAATAAACTGCTTTCACTTTATGAATTTGCGTAGAATTCTTTCTTGTGCAAAATCCAAGAACCCTCTCTTGGAGGCACACAAGCACCTTAGCCTCATGAAAACTGGTCTGTTAGAGACCACCGTGGAAGGAGGGGAATGGCTGACCCTTCCTTTAGAGACCACCGTGGAAGGAGGGGAATGGCTGACCCTTCCTTGTTTGCTTGTTTCTCCCTGAACAGACCCGTGAAGCCCACATCCAAAACAAGCATTTTAAACAAATCCAGATTCTGTTGGGAGAAGAAAATGCTTCCTAACCTCAAAAGTGAGTTACCCAAGTGAGGCTGGACATGAAGTGTTTGTCAAAACAATGGACTCTGAGACGGAAGAGTAGAAGCAGATGGTCAAGGCCCGGGGTAAAAATGAGGGTGACTGACTGCAGGTGGAGAGGAAGGTGGGTGGGTGGGCAGTGGCCATAGATGACCCTGAGGCCTGAGCAAGCTCCATCAGGGCTCACACAGGCAACACAGAGGCAGCTGAAGAGCCGGCCCAGCCCCAACCCTTGCCTGTGCCACATGGGAGAGCCAGGCCACACCTGCAGAACCTCGGGACAGGTGAGCACACAGGTTCCCTGGGGAGAACACATCTTCCCATTGCCCTTTGGGACTTGGGGGGTGAGGATTCTTCACCAACTGTGATCTGCATGCGGCCCATGGATTGTCCACCCAACAGGCCTCTTCTTCATACTGTCTGAAGACTTTGCCGTGAATGTGCCTCTCAATGGCCCGGGTCACATATAAGTCCTTGGAGGAGAAAGATGTGGAAACGGAAGCTCCCTGTCCAGCGTCCAAACTTGGGTGGGTTTTGCCGATGGAAGCTGAGTCTGTTTCACCTGCTCAGTAACACAGGCACACATCCAGGTGTGGGTACCAAGCTCCAGACCAGAGCCAGGGCGTCGGCTGCTGCACAGTTCCCAACGTCATTCCCCTTAGTGCCTTCATGTTGATGCTGCTCTTTACTGGGAGGCGGGGGGGTTGTCAGCTGTTCCCCTTCTTCCTAAGACCCGAGCATTTATTCTGATGTAAAATATAATGGTTAATCTACAATGGTTAATGTGCTCCTGCATAATAGGAATGTGAATGTAATAGCATACGTTGACCCTTGAAATTACTTTATAACCACAAAACGTGACTAACCTCCAGCAGTCTGAGGGGGGACGTGTGGATTTTAAGAGACTGTAGTAGTTCCCAGACGCCATCTTCAGGACAGAGCCAGGCAGGTGCCTCTGCATGACTTGAAGAGCCTCGAAGACTGCTGGTCACCCTTTGCCACCACCACGGATGAGCTAATCCATTCATTCTGTAGAGAACCACATAGTTACAGAATTTTACCATTTTAGGTAAGGGAAAATGCAGCCAGGTGTGGAAACTATTGGATCAGGACCTGTCAGTGGGTTAATTTGGCAATTGTTTCTGAAGAAAGGAAAGCTCAATTAGATGGTGCCAACTAAGCAAGAGAGGACTGTAAGATACCAACTTCCATTAGCTTCTGGAACTCATTTTTTTTATCTAACTAATGACACAAACACACTCTTTAAAGTACCAACCCAGCGTGTGTGAGCGGCAGAAGGCAGCAGGGAGGCTCTGTCCGCCTGGAGGGAACAGGTTCTGCCACCAGCCGCAGGTGAGTCCCGGAAGGCCCAGGGCTTGGCCAGAGCGTCCTGTACCACAGGCGTCCTTGCCTCCCTGCGGGGCCTCGGCTTCCTCCCCAACCCGGACACATCCAGACAAGACTGGGCACCAGCAGGAGGGGATCTCATCGCAAGAGCTGGGTCAGGCAGCCTTTTGGTTCTACAAACCCAAAGTTCTCCTTCCTCACAAGAAACACAGACACCAGGGCTTCAGGGAACACCAGCAAAGGTGAAGCTGATGCAAGCAGCACAGCCAGCGTGGGAAGCCCCTTCCTCCCCAGGCTGAAGAGTCCTGTCCCCCAGGGAGATGGAGAGCCAGGGTTCCCTGCACCACCAGCCCGGGGAAGCTCCTCTGGCCCCAGACGCCACCAGCAGAATCCGGTGGAACCCAGCGTGGCACAGAAACCGAGACGACCACAACGACACCAGGACATGCTGCTTCGATAGGAAGTTTAAGGACTCGGGGTCTCCTAACGTAACAGACAAAATGCCCAGGACACAGCAAAAAATCACTCATCATCCCAAGAACCAGGAATATCACAACTTGAACAAAGGCAATCAACCATCACCAAACCCTAAGATGAACCAGATGTCAAAACTGCGGCCAAGGATTTTTAAGGGCCGTCATAATAGTAATTCAACAACCAGTTACAAATTATCTTGAAACAAATGAGAAAAAAATCAGCGAAAACATAGAACTTACACTAAAAACAAACTGAAATTATATAGCTAAAAATACAATCACTGAATACATAAAACTCACCAGGTGAGTTCACCAGCAGAGTATAGATGGCAGAGCACAGGGTCCGTGGCTATGAGGACGGGTTGATGGGATTTACATGATCTGACAACAGAGAGAAGATAGAATTTAAGAATTCCAAAATAAACAGAGCTCAGGGACCTATGGGACAACAACCAAAAAATCCCAACTTTTATCTCATAAGAATTCAGTAGGGAGAAGAGAAGAGAGTGAGATGAAAGAGTATTTGAATAACATAACGACTGAAAACTTCCCAGATCTGGCAAAAGATGTAAACACATAGACTCAAAGAGCTACATGAACCCCAAAGAGGATAGACTCAAGTAAATTCAGGCTAATGTGCATCGTGATGAAACTCCTGAAGAGTAACAGAGCAAAAGTCTTGAAAGGGACAGGAGCTGAACGATGTGTTATCCACAGAACAGCAATTCAAATGACAGCAGACTCTCCCTGTGAAACTGCAGAGGCCACACACAGTGGCACAAGGTTTTCCTTGTGCTGAATTAGAATAACCATCAGCCACAGATTCTGTATCTGGTGAAAAGATCCTTCCATAATGAAGGGAAAATAAAGACACTCTCTGATGAGAAAAACAAGGGGAATTTGTGGCCAGCAGACCTGTCCTTGAAGACTGGCTTAAGGAAGTCCTAAAAGCAAAACGAAATAGCAACTTGGAGTTTGGGAGCATTACAAAGGAAAAGGAGACAGCAGGAAGAGCCCGTTCTTCCCGTCTAAGTTGATATGGTCTGGATTTGTGTCCCTGCCCAAACTTCATGTGGAATTGTGATCTCCAGTGTTGAAGGAGGGGCCAGGTGGGAGGGGAACCAATTAAACTTATTTTCTTTATAAATTACCCAGTTTCAGGTATTTCTTTATAGCAGTGAGCGAACAAACTCATACTGAAGTCATCTATTTGATAATTGCCAGATAATTCCAATACCATCTGAGAGTCAAGTCAACCATATTTAAGAAGTGGGGATGGTAGGGGAGCCCACAGAAGTAAAATTAACCTAGCACATTTCAGGGAGACACAGCGGCGAAACTGAGGTATGAAGGCTCCCAGAAAAATTTCTAAGAAACACGCACAAAGCAATACAATAGAAACACTGTAAATAAGTAAAACTGGATCCTTAGTCAAGCACAGTACTACATAGGAAGGCACTAAAACAGAAACAGGAATAAGCAGCTGGGTCAGAAACACAAACAAATAAAATGGCAGATTTGAGCACTAATCAATAATTAACTTAAGTGAAAATAGTGTTATGTAACACCAATTAAGAAGTAGTGATGATCAGAGTGGCTTTAAAACAAATAAAAAATAAAGTAAACACACCCAACAATATGTTTTCACAAGAAATATGTTAAATGCCAAAGACAGTTTGAAACTAAAATTATGGAAGTACATATATTATGCAAGCACATAGACATATACACACTCCCCCAAGACATGGCTACATTAACATAAGGTAAATCAAGCTTTAGAGAAAAGAAAATTACCAGAAACAAAGGGGAACATTAATAAGGGTACAAAGATCAATCCAGCAGGAAGACAAAATGATCTTTAACGTGTATGCACCAAAAAATCGCAGGGGATCTCCAAAATTCTCCTAGAATTAATAAGTGATTCTACTTTGGCTGCAGGATAGAAGGCAAACAGATGAAAATCAATCACACTTCTCTTTACCACTAACGATGAGTATGTGATTACTAAAGTTCACAATTACCAAGTATAACTGCTCCAAAGAAGATGAAATATTGTCTACAGCCACAACACCCCGCACGCGTCTGATCTCAGAAGCTAAGCAGGGTTGGGCCCGCTCAGCACCTCAATGGGAAAAAGTGAAATGCTTAGGTATAAACACAGCAGAACCCAGATAGGATCCAGAGGCTGAAAATTATCAAATGCTAGTGAAATAAAGATCCAAATACATGGAGAGACATATTGTGTCCATTAATTGGAAGACATCACAGAGAAAGGTTAATTTTCCCCAAACAGATCTATAGGCTTCATTCTATTTCCTTCAAAATCCCAGCAAGATGTTTCATAGACATACTACAAGTTCGTTCTAAAATTTCTGTGGAAGAGCAAAGAAACTACAATAACTGAAACAATCTTTATCAGTAAAAGCATAAAACATGAGAGATCATTCACCTCGATATTAAGTATTTCTATCTAGTAATAGTCGTCAATACAGTACAGTATTCACACAATGATAGATTCATAGTTCCATGGGACAAAATAGAGAACCCCAAAGTAGACCCAAACAAATATGCCCAACTGAGTTTTGACAAAGATGCTGCGAAATTCATTAGAGGAAATATGGCCTTGTCAATAAATGGGGCTGTATTGGACTTTCATAAGTGTGAAATTCATTACAGGAAATATGGCCTTGTCAATAAATGCGGCTGTATTGGACATTCATAAGCAAAAACAAACAAACAAAAAATACCCTTCAACCTAAACCTCACGCCTTATACAAAAATTAACTCAACTTGGCTTAAATGGAAGAGAAAAATAAAAAAAAATTTACGAAAAATAATAGAGAAAATTTCCTGCATTTGGGACTTGTTCTTAGACTTGACACTGAAAGCATATTTTGTTAAAGAAAAAATTGGTAAATTGGACCTTATCCAAACAAGAAACTGCTCTGTTAAAGCCTGTTAAGACAATGAGAAGACAAGCAATGGGCTAGGAGAAAACGTTTGCAAGCCACCTGTCTGGAGAAGAGCTCATTTCTGTGATATACGTGACACTCTCAAACCTCAACAGTGAGAGCACAAACCATCCAACTAGAAAATGCACACAAGACATAAAGACACATTTCACCAAAGAGGACATATGATGGCAATAAGCACATGGAAAGATGTTCAGCATTATCAGCCAATAGGGAAATGCAAATTAAAACCTTGTGAGACACCACGACATACCTAACAGGAGGCTGAAAGTTAAAATAGATTGAAAACACCAAATTTTGACCAGGATGGATCATTCTTCTATCGCTGCTGGGAATGCAAAATGGTACAGCCCCTCTGGAAAACAGTTTGGCAAGCTCAGAAAAAACTACCGTATGTGCCAGCACTGGAATTAAACTTCTTGGCATTTATCCCAGAGAAAGGAAAACTGAGGTTCGTACAAAATTCTGAATGAAAATCTTCGTAGCAGCTCTACTTGTGACAAGCCCAATCCAGAAGCAGCCCCAATGTCCTCCAATGACTGAATGATTCAACAAACTGCAGTACATCATATCTTGAAATATTACTCAGTAGTGAAAATGAATTATTGATACACACAAGTTAGATGCATCTGAAAGGAATCATGCTGCATGATAAAAGCCAACTCCCAAATGCATCATTTACAGTAACATTTATGTAACATTTTGACAAAAGGGTAGAGGTGGAGAATGAATGGGACAGCCAGGGTGGATGGAGGTGGAAGAGAGGAGGCAGGAGGGCTGGGCATGGCGGTAAGAGGCGGCATGAGGGCTCCTGGTGCTGATGGGATGCTGTGTATCTCGACTGTGTATCTTGACTGTGTATCTCGACTGTGTTGGTGGATACACGAATCTCTACACATGATACAATTACATGGAGCTAAACATACACAAACACACACAGGTGCATGGTGCATGTAAAACTGGAGAAATCCAGACATAACCAATAGACTTTACCAAACTCAATTATTTGGCAGCGATATTGTTCTGTAGTTTTGCAGGATGTTACCTTTTGGGGAAACTAGATTCATGGTACATGGAGCCTCTCCAAATCACTTTTTACAATCACAAGTGAATGTGCACTCATCTCAATATAGAGTGATCAATTAAAAAATAAAACGTGAGGCAATGTGATAGCTACATGCTGAAACTCAAAATAGGACTGTCGTGTTATCAGTCTATCTTTATATTGTAAACTGGAGTAATTGGCTTCATGTATCTAAATAAAATCTTGTATATATTAGAAAATATGGATTTAAAATACTTAATATTAAATATCAGTGTAAACCATAGACTGTGTTATACATCAGATATGTATTTTAATCAACTTTTTATAAATAATGGCTTTTACATTGTGGTCATAAGTCTTTGTGCTGAAAGCATCGGGGGGTTTGAAGAAGCCGAAGGATGGAAGAGTTAATCTCTGTTGCTCCGAAGACAACCATGCCGGTGAATACCTCAGGTCCAATGTGTGATCAGGATATATATTTATATGAATTTATTCAGGATTCTTTTGTTCTGATATGCTAACACAGAGTGACATTCTCAAAAGTGCAGAATGGAGAGAATGATATCTATAGCACAAGTGATTTCAATTTATTCTTTATTTTATGATCTCACAAAGCCTTGTCTTTATTTTTATGATCTCTATGTTGATCATGCCTTAGAATGAGAGGAATGTTAATTTTCAAAAAGCAAAGGCAGTTCTGAAGACCTGGGTGTTTTTACGTGTTTCTGTGCAAGGCGGTGATTGTGATGAGCACCAGGAGGTGAAGGATTGCTCCACCCAGCCTGCAGAGAGCCAGAGAGTTTGCCAAGGCCACAGGAGGACTGCAATGCCCAGGAGGTGAGGGGCCCCTCCGTCCAGCCTGCAGAGAGCCAGAGAGTTTGCCAAGGCCACAGGAGGACTGCGACGCCAAGCTTTGGACAGGTGTTTATTCACGCCGAGGGCTTTGGACAAATTTTTCCATCGAGCTCTCGGAACGTCTTGTCTCCTTTAAGTTCAGCCGGAATGTCCCCTCCTGAAGGCCTTCCCTGATGACCCATCTTCAGCTCCTGAGCTGTGCTTCTTGAGGGATGCAGATGAGGTGATGGAGACTCTGCGTGTCCTCGTCCCCAGGCAGCATCTCCCTGACACCCTCATGCCTCTGACCTTCACTCCTAACTCTTTCCATCCTTCTTCATAATACCCAGATTACATAAAGGATGGCTGCTCACCACCAAGAGCAAACTTCCCTTTTCCAAGAGCCACCCTGGACCCTTCTTCCCTAAACTAGCTGGGCTTCAGTGCCCTCTCTCTAACCTCGTAGGCATTTCACCTCCTTCCCCTGCCCCAGGCTTCTTCAGAGTCTTCTCCCGCTGGCTTTGGGAGAAGAGCCGGTGCTGAGGGTGCTCTGACTGGACCCCCTCCAAGCTGTCCCACAGACCCCAAGCTCTCCCTCCCAGCACCTTTCTGGCTTCCAGATGGTCCATGTGGTTGCTCTCTGCCTCCATGTGTAGAAAGCGAACTCCCAGAAGCCAGGGAGCTCACCTGCATCAGAAGCCAGGGAGCTCACCTGCATCAGGCACCCTTAGGTCTCCTAGCAGAGTGCAAGAAAAACCAAAAGCTCAACAGTGTGTGTGGAGTAAAAGGAGGTGGCATTACCAGCCTTGCTGGACAGATGAGGAAAGGGAGGAATGAGATCTTAAAGGGGTTGCCTGGGCTCTAGAGCTGGCAAGGGGAAGGAGAGCCGGGCTGAAGACCTCTGGCCCAGGGCAGCCCTGCAGATGGCAGCCGCCTGGACCGCGGGGCTCTGAGTGGGCACAAAGGTCTTCACTGCCATCCCTACCTGCCTCCCTCCAGCCTCTCTCTCTCAGCCTCTCTCTCTCAGTCTCTCTCTTGTCCTGTCTCTCTCTGGGTCTCTGTCTTATCTCTGCTTCTCTCTCACCTCTCCCCCTATAAAGATAAAAGTCTGGGAAGATGCCTAAACAGACACCGTACGACCCCACTTGGCACCTTCTTCCTGTGGAACGGGTGTCGGCCTTCGAAAGCAGGTGGCAACAGAGAGGACACTTAGGGCACTGGGCCCTAGGCAGCTGGGTGGCGTCTCAGGAGGAGCTGGGCGGGGAGAGCGCAAGGGGCCTGACCGGCTCCCCTCAGCTGCACTGATGAGCTGTAGGGAGAAGGAAAAGGGGCGGTGGAGCTTTGCTTCGTCCCCCTTAGGGTAGCAGGCAGGGGACGCAGGAGACAGGAAGCAGAGCCAAGTCAGGCATCAAACAGGCATGGCACGTGCCTGCGCCGCACTGAGCGGATCCTTGTCTGTTTCTTGGAATTTAGAGGAAGATCCAGTGGGGAGCACCGGAGAAGGACTGGAACGTCTCACAATTCAAACTCACTCGCCCTGTCATTAATTCAGGGAAAGAAACTCAACTGACCACAGAGCGCTGGGCCCAGAAAGAAACCTGAGAAAGCACTGCTCCTGCGGGGCTCACCTGAGCCTCCTTGATGGCTGATCTCACCTGAGCCTCCTTGGTGGCTGATCTCACCTGAGCCTCCTTGGTGGCTGATCTCACCTGAGCCTCCTTGGTGGCTGATCTCACCTGAGCCTCCTTGGTGGCTGATCTCACCTGAGCCTCCTTGATGGCTGATCTCACCTGAGCCTCCTTGGTGGCTGATCTCACCTGAGCCTCCTTGATGGCTGATCTCACCTGAGCCTCCTTGGTGGCTGATCTCACCTGAGCCTCCTTGATGGCTGATCTCACCTGAGCCTCCTTGGTGGCTGACCTCAGAGGAGAACTTGGTTTCTTAATCTCAGGTCCAAAGTGGATTCTAAAAAATATGTCCCTTTGCTTTGGTTACCCCTGAAACTGTATGTCCCCAGGGGCTGGGGAGGTTCACGAGGGAGCTCCATCAGGAAGGCAGGACTCATCCCCGACCCACAGGCAGCTTTGCCTTCCTTGGCCCAAAGCCGCACCTGCTTCCCAAAGCCCTGCCTCAGCCCAGGGGTGTGGACTGGAAGGCTGAGCCACTTGTTACTGTGCCTGCTTCCCATGGCTACTGTATCCAACACCGCTGGCACTCTGCACTGACAGCTGACGCATTTGACCTGGCTCCCATTAGCTCCATCACCACCTGGTAAGTGCCTGCCTCCCACCTGCTGTACTCCAGCGATCAGCCATCCCCCATCCCAGAGGGTCCCCAGGCAGCATGCTAACAGCCTCTTCTACAAGCCAATTTACAAGGATCTGGTCATGTTTACATTAGCCTTCTCCCAATGCATGAAAAGAGAAGAGCTTGCTTCAGAATAGAAATGAGCAAATATGAATAATTCAATTTTCCTTGTGGCTATTAACACATTTTCCTTGAATAAAGTGATAATAGGTTATCATCTGTGAAATGGAAATTGCATAACAGAGAGTTTCTGGTTACACCAGAGGAAATTAATTTCATGGTACATCTGCTGGGACCTAACTTGTGAATGCTGAGCATGAGAAAATGCAGCCGTTCAGCTCGGCTACCTCTCTAATTAGATTAGCACTGCCCCCACCCATGCTGGCATCCTCAGTCTAGGCAGGAGAATCGCTGTTCCCTTCCGCAGATACCTAATATTTGTAATGATGAAATGACTGGAGCAATTAGGGGAAGTTAAAAATGAATTATGGGACCATACTCTATTAACCAGATGCTGCTTTAAAGGGACTGGGCTTGTGTTATCTGTCTAGTTAAGTACAGTACTGAGACTGGCTATCAATAAGTACAACCGATCACATCAGCATATACCACATATGAAACTATTTTACAATCAGCTGAGGGTTGCCATGTCAACCAACACAGGGGATTCAGAGAGCAACCTGGTGATCTGTCAACCACGTAGACAGAGTGCAAGTTACCACAGGCAGGGCAGAAGCTACACAGAAGATAGGGAATGCCCCAGTGCCAATGGCCCATTGGATTCACTGAGAGGCTTGGGGACAACCGTCGACTATGTAGTACCATGTGACCATTTTCAGTTGCACCTTATAGACTTCAGCATAAATAACCATCTAGGAAAGTTGGAAGGCGTGACTTCCGTGTTTATAGCATGCTTTCTATGTAAAGTGCGAGGACAGGATGAGTTGAGGCTCCCCCACCAGCCTTGTACCTGCTCTCTGAGGACCTCAGCTTTTCCATCTGTCCAAGCCCAATGGTTCTTACATGAAAGACAGACAATGGCGGCAAAGCCAGCCCATCTCTCCTGCCCTCTCCCCTGAGCCCTTTCTCATTCCGGTCTTCTCATCATTGCTTTATTTCTGCCTCTCCTCCCTGGGCCAAAAGTGGAAGGCTGATACTTCCAATCATTTCTATACCTACTAAGTGCAATGAAATTCTTATATAATCGGGCTTTAAAATTGCCCATTTTTAATAAAATGAAGGGGTCATTGGATTCACTTATCTTTTTCCAGCACACTTAGTGGGAAATAACGCAATACCAAGCTTTTCTACAATTTGGGCCTCTTCCTGGCAGAGCTAGGAGCAGGTGCAGAGGCACCTTCCGGGAGGGCAGTCCTCCTGGGCGCACCTGCTCCTGCATGAAGGTCTAGACTTTGCTTCATTCTCAGAAACCTGGGTCTTTTCTTGGCAGTTCTAAGGTTGATGACACTTCACATCGTCTTAACAGGGACCTCCTTCAACTCCACAACTGTATTTCCTCTCACCTGAAAGGTGATTCTGCCTCAAAGCGTGCAAAATTTTGGTAGATTAAGATACCTCCTATTTCCTTGAAGCATTGATCACACTTTTTTATGCAAAACTTAAATAAAATTCAATAATTTTAACCTTAAGGAATTGTGCTGGGGAAGCAATATATGATTTTAATTATTATCTTGATTTAACCAAAATTCAATACACTCTTTGGCATACTGCACAAGGAATACTTATCCAGAGGCGTGACTGAAGCTCTTTTAGTCAATAAATGGGTAAGGAAGTTTAATATGCCTCATTAGAAGCCCATATTTAAAGAAGAAAATATATAATTCCTACTTACTAATTTTCTTTTGCGCCGTTAATAGACTATCTGCATTAAGCAATGTATCCTAATTCCAGACATACTGCATTTTAATGTGACAGGGCTATTTTAGAAACTTTCACATCATGCTACTCTTTCAACTGGTCTTCTACGACTTTCATTTCTTTTATGACCACATTATAAAAAGCAATAAAGAAGACACAACTCCTTTCTATTATGCAGGTCCTACTTTCCAATTCCAGGCATAAATTAACAAGTGCCAATAATTAATTTTCACTATTTCAAAAGTGGAAGCAATTTTCAGCATATCAAAAGCAACGTGCAAGATGATGGGGTTAGTGGGCGTGCATTGCAGCTGCATTTTGTCACCAAGAGATTTGATACTTTCGGTAATAAATCATAAAACTTCCCTATTTCTCAACATTTTAAGATAAGAGTGTTGGGATTCAAATCAATTTGGACATCTACATGCAGGCTCCAATCTTCCTAACCAGGGACAAACATGCTGTCCTTGTCAAAGCACTTCAAAGGAAAGCAACTGAAAATATATTATCTTATAAATGCCATTGAGGTCCTTTCCCTGGAGTCTTAAACAACTACACAGAATTATCCACGATGACTGCAATTATATTCAGACAAGAGAAATCCTCAGAACTTCCCGACTGAATTCTGATGTTATCGCTTCAATGTCAAAATTATATCCCCTAACAACAAAATCATAAGACTGTACCAGGTAAACAGCAAGCGCTGCACACAGAAAAGTCATGTCCAGTAGGGAAAACCGCACAGACTCAAAGCCAGGTCTGGGTTGTGACCCGTCTGGCTTTGCCTCTCGTGACTTTCATGACCTTGGGTAAGTTGTTTCCCTGAGTCTTGAGGCCTTCAGAGTCAAATGCATAAACATAGGTAAACCTATCTACAAAATGGTGATGATGCTTACTTTGACCTGAGAATGGGAAGGGCTTCCTAAGCGTAATGGGATTCTAAATCCTGTCCCTTATTTTATAGCCGTCGTGTGTACTGTTTTGTTTTCATGTTTCTAAGAGAAGCAACCCAAAGCAAAGGAAAAGTAAGAGTCACTTGATGCCCGGAAACTAGAGTCCTGTGAATGGATCCTAATTATATTTTAGCTAGTCGAGCTGTGCATGAAGAGGAACATGAATAGGAGGCAGAGAGGGCCCTGCGTTTCCACTGCATTGCCCTGCTAGGCACCTAATGAATGTCCACCCATACCACAATGAATGAGACTAGGGAGCAAGGCTGCCCCTGGCATTAGCATAGCTGAAAAAAATAAAGAAAGGAAAGATAAGAAGGCCTTCCACGGCCACCCCGCTCCAGGTTTACAGCTCACTGTAACTTAGAGTAATGCTGGTCCACACAAGTTTGTTGTGTTTGTTAATTACTTAATGAAAGTGGAGTTTTGATGGATGACAGCCAGTAAAATTCATTTGTAATGAGCAGCAGTTCAGGGGATCACTCAAATGCTGGCACCTTTCTTGTGGAAAGCTCCTTTTTAGAGTGCTTAATTGTAACATATTGCTGCTATTATTTTAAAGTAATAACTCATTATAGAATAGGATTTCTATACAAGCCCTAATAATTCTGTTATGTCTACCGTGATTTTTCAACATTAGCTAATGAAGTGCCCCATCATTTATCAGTAAATAGCATCTAATGCTGCACAGTAAATCTTTTGACAGAATTATTTGTGCCAGCTTCCTAGATCAGGGACAATTAATAGAATCAGAATTGGTGATTTGGGAACCGACTTCCTTGCCATGCATCCTAGCCTTCTCTTGCAATGAAATCATTTGACAAGTCCAATACAACAGCTTCATTTTTCATTCACTTTATCAGCTTCTGGCTTTAAATGACATCCATATCCATAAAAGGTACAGAACTTCACCAAAGAGTCAAGACACATTTAGGTCCAAACCGACCAGTGTAATTTAGCTATTCTTGCTAAATGCCTCCTACAAAATCCTTAAGATTTACATTTTAGGTGACTGCCAGTGACCCAGCCGAAACTGACCTGTGTTTTTTTTCCCCTGTCTCACATCTTACATCTCAGTGTGTTGTGTGACAGACAGGGAGAGAAGTTGTCTCAAAGGTGTTTCTTCTGTAGGTCACAGAGACAGAGCAAAGGAGGACCTCAAGCCCCTGCCAGTGTGTGCTTTTCCAAAGTGCTGATCTCAGGTCTGCTTTGACACGAGTGTGGGCGGATGCCCACGTGCACATAGCTCTTTGGTTTTTATGCTGCTGATCTGTATATGAATGTTTTCATAATTGAATAGTCCATTCAGTCTTGGAGATAAAATTCAAAATTGCCATCTCCGACACCCCCCACCGTATTTTAGAAGTACTGTACTACTACTCATAAAGAATGTTCTTGATAGATGTAACTTCACTGCTAATGAACTCTGTTTTTGAATAAAAGCATTCAGATGCATTTCACAAGGACTGTGTCGAGCACCCTCTCAGGCCTCCGTCAGTATCTGAGGTGCAGAGTCGCCGGGCTGTGCAGGTTGACCACCCCTCTTGTCCGTTGACTGCTTGAATCTCTGGGAGATCCAGGTGAGGCCTCCCGGCGTGCCTGGTGTCTGCCCCAGCATAGCCCCAGCCTGGGTAGTGCCGTTGCTATGGCACTGCTGGGGAAATGCAGGCTAGAGATGAACAAGGGTTCAATGAGGAATCCCGACTGTTCCTTTCACACTTCCAGCTGCAAGACCGCTCAACACTTCGAGTTCTCTTAGGACCCTCGGTGTATGCTAATCGCCTCCACCTAGGTCAATTGGTACTTATAGAAGCAGCACCCCCTGTCAGTTATTTTGAGCAATTGGTACCTTGGGAATCAATTCAGTCCAACAGTAATTGGTAGAAGAATCAAGGAAAGTGCTAAATAGGAAGAGGTGAATTGCACATTGAATTCCCTGTATAGTGCAGATAATTAGCCAATATTCCAAAATTTTGTTTTCGTGCCATCTAGATTTGTGAAATTAAAATAGCCACTGGGAATGTGCAGGGCAGCTGTCAGCTCTCGTCTGAGTGGTCTGGTTTAAGAAGGTTAGGTCAATATTCCGCCTTTTTTATTTTGCAGTGTTATTTACTGTGGGAGGGAAGGATTAATTCAACTATGTGAAATAGACATAGAAAACTGTAAGAAATACATTGCTACTGCATTTATAAATGAATATTCTATAACCAAGAGCAAACGTATTTTTTTTCCTCTCCCAGTACTTTCCAAGGCTCTTCAGGGCAGGCAGTGGGGAACCTCCTTAGCATAGGGCAGAGGGGTCTTTTTGAAGCAAACTAAAATGACCCTTAAATAAATCTACCTTTAAATGAAATTCAGCAGCTTGCCTGATACTTAAAACATGGTGGACCCATAAATAATCAGTCAAAACGTATTACAAATGTTTCCCTAGCCGGAGTAAATAAAGTGAATCAGTGAGGCCCCAATCATGGGGCAAAGAGTGGGTGCTGGGCCGGGGCTGTTGGGCGGCCACCTGGAACGCACGTGAAGCCACACCATCCATGGGGCCGGGTGCTCCTGTCCTCCACAACACCCTAAAACATGCCGCTGGGCTTTTCAGAGAGTGTCGACTCTCCTTCCCTACAACTTATTTCCTCTCATTAATTTTTAATATTCATGTACACTGTCTCAGATCTCTTATTTGAGGAATAAAAAAATGACATACATAAGAAAAAATGGAAAACATATAGTGAAAGAAATTCTTTTCTTTTCTCCCTTTTAACTTACATTTTAAAAAATCTATTCATTTTTTATCATGCATATTCTTCTTGGCCATTTCAAAACTTTTTGAGGATTACAGACTATAAATTATTTATTCTAACCAGTTTCCCTTCCACTAGCCTCACTCACCCTTGCTCCCAAATTATATCTAATAGGTAAAGTTTGGTTTTCAATATGACAATTGTGAGTATTAGGTTGGTGCAAATGTAATTGCGGTGTTGCCATTAAAGGTAAAGTAAAGATCACAATTACTTTCGCACCAAGCTAATAGATACATATGAGATAGAAACTATTAGATTCCACCTTAACTGTCAATATTACACTAAAATTAGACAAAATGGAAATTCCTGTCCAGCACTTGACAGAGTAGGCCATACAGGTATGTTTATAGCTAATTTTCTTATATATTAAAGTCTGTGCATCCTTTTATAAGCTG